>NC_000006.12:101585941-101737456 GCF_000001405.40 Homo sapiens
CAAGGGAGGAAGTATATTTTTAAATTACTATTATTAAAATATAAAATTAGAGGAAAGAAAAGAGGGAGATTAAAGCCAACTCATTCACATTGCAAGTTACTGTAACAATGCAATGCTGGGTTTTAGGGTTGAGGTTTGGGAGTTTAGTCCTGAAGCTGGGCGCCTACACCTAGCCATGTGTGCTTCTATTCTCACCCAGGAATAAGAAGCAATAGGTCAGTGTAGGGCATAAATTTGGAACTGAAACGCCTGCATAAAGCCAAAACCTGAAATAGATGAGTCTTCCATGGAACAGAGACTAAAAAATAACTCAGAGAAAGAAAAGTTTGACTCTACCCAAGAGTATGAATCGAAAAAAAAAATTCTTTAAGAAATAAAAATTCAAAGTTTGTTTTTACACAGCATATAATGTATACATTTTACTCTCCTCATGGTACAGAGATCTCCAAGTAGACATTGTAACATAAAAAGTGATCTTGAGGCAATGAAACACCTTGGACATCTGGAAGGGCCAAATCCAAAACTGCTCTGAAGGAACATTTCCAAGCTACCTGGAAGTAGAGACCCATAGGGAAAAAATTCCCTCTCAGGATGAGTCCAACTCCCTCTCCACCCTGCACCATGACAAAAGTCATTGACACTGAGAGTTAGAAATCATAAGTAGATGCCTGTAATCCAGCACTTTGAGGGGCTGAGGCAGGTGGATTGCCTGTGCTCAGAAGTTTGAGACGAGCCTGGCCAATATGGCAAAACCCCATCTCTACTAAAAATAAAATTAAAAAAAAAACAAATTAAAAAATTAGCCAGGTGTGGTGGCACATACCTGTAGTCCCAGCTACTTGGGAGGCTGAGGCATGAGAATTGCTTGAACCCAGGAGGCAGAGTTTGCAGTGAGCCGAGATCCTGCTACTGCACTATAGTCTGGGCAAAAGAGCAAGTCTCTGTCTTAACAAAAAAAAAAAAAAAAAAAAAGAGAGATATCAAAAACAGAAGAGTCAGCAACCATGTCTGAGAACCTGAAATAATGGGACAATCTGGGAAAGAACATGAAATATGGATTTAAACTCAATGGCAGCAAGAATCTTTTTGTCCATTTTATTCACAGGGTTGAGGATAATTCTAGAATTTGTTGAATGGATTGATATGTATAAAAACTAAGAAATGTAAATAAAAATAGGGTTTTAAAAATGAATATGAAAGAAAAAATGAACAGGCAAAGTTGAAAAAGAACAAAATAGAACTGCTGGAAATGAAAACTATAGATATTAAAATTTAGAAATATAAGAGATGGTTTAAAGGGACAATTGGACAGAACTATGCCCAAGAAACAAAACTTGGGGAAAATTCCCCAAATGTGACACAAGTGAAAAAGAGGTAGAAAGTATGAAAGGATAATTAAGACATACGGAGAATTAAATGACAGAATCTATCAATCTATCTGTCTGTCCGTCTGTCTGTCCCTCCGTCCATCCATCCATTCATCCATCCATCCTTCCTACCTACTTACCTACCTACCTACCCACCTATCTGAAATAGGATTTCCAGAAGGAGCTGAGAGAAAGAATGAGGAAGCAGTTATATTTAAGGAGCTAATGATAGATAAATTTTCAGTATTAATAAAATATATGAATTTTCAGATTGGAAACCACAGTTAATTCTGAGCAGATTATGTAAAAGCAAATTTAAGTATTGATGTTATGAACAAATAAGTTATAATTAGTTGAACAACAGGTATTAGAAAGCAACATTGGAGGCTAGAAAACAATAGAATGGTATCTTCAAACTGCTGAGAAGAGTAATTTTCAAACTAGAACTCTAAATCAGAATTGCTAAATTGGTGATGAAAATTGAGGCTAAAGTACAGTTATTTTCAAGCCAACAAAGACTGCAGAGGTTTCTATGCACAGACACTCTCTGAACTACTAAAAAATGCACTTCAGGAAGAAGAAATTGAAACTAGGTGGAAAAGGTGACACATGAGCAAGGGTGAACAAAGAATTGCTAAACAAATAGGCAAATTTAAATAATTAATGGCTCAAAAATAACTTTGGGGCAGCTAAAATAAAGAGGAAAATATAATACAAGAGGAATAAGAGGGTATCATGGGTAAGATCAGTACAAGCATTCTCAGCTCTTTGTGTTAGGGGGCAAAATAGACATTTCCATTAGTCTTTTATTTTGTTAGTGTAAAATATGAATATAACCTAAAATGTAAAGATCATCAGAATGTAAATAGATGCAACTATGAAGCTAATAGAGTGGAGGAATTAAACAATTGATCAGGCTATCGATAAGAAAAATAGAAAAAAGCATAAACTAAAAACAACCAAATCCAAGGAAAGATGTATATGTAAAAGCTTGAAAGCCAGAAAGAGCAGTCACATGTGAGAGCTGCAAATAGTTCAAAATGACTGGAGAAGAGGCAGGTTGAGGTGTGCAGGGGCGGGGAGGATCAGGGTACAATTCAGGATAAATGTAGAAAGGTTATCAAGAGCCATAAATATCTTTATGTTCATATCAAAAAGCCACAGAATTGTTCTAAGATAAGGTTGGAGTAGCAAGGCCTGGTGGCACATACCTCTAGTCCCAGCTAGTTGGAAGGCTCTGGCAGGAGGATCACTTGAGCCCAGGAGTTTGAAGCTGTAGTGCACAATGATTGCACCTGTGAATAGCCACTGCACTCCAGGCTGGGCAACACAGGGAAACTGCATGACACACACGCACACGCACACACACACACACAGAAAAGAAAGAAAGAAGAAAAGAAAAAAAGTGAAGCAGCCCATATTTGGGTGCATTGAAAGATCATTCTAAACATGGCACATACATACATATGTAACAAACCTGCACATTATGCACATGTACACAAGAACTTAAAGTATAATAAAAATATGTATATATTTAAAAAAAGATCATTCTAGCTTAAGTGAACAATACGTGGAAAAGACATACTGAAGGCAAGAATACCAGTGAGCCCAGGGAAACACAAAAATGGCACAATGTAAGGTGGTAGCAGTGGGAATAAAGGCAAGTGACAGATTAGGGAAAAACAAAGCTTAAGAATTAATATAATGATTATGTCATTTATAATTAATAAAGAGTGATTGGGTGGTGAATGGGCAGAAGAATATGGGATGAAACCTACCATTCTGGCTTGGATAGTGGAGTGGAGGGGGCTGCGATTCACTATGACACTGAACAGGTAATTAGCAACAGTTTTGTTTGTTGTGGTTTTTATTTTAAAATCAACAGATAACTTTGTATGGATTTATGTATAACATGATGTTTTGAAGTATGTATACATTGTGGAGTGACTAAATCTAGCTAATTATGCATTAACTCACATAGTTATTACTTTTGTGGTGGCAACACCGTCTACCCTCTTTTAGAATATTTTTAAAACACAGTATGTTATTAACTATAGCCACCATGTTGCACAATAGATCTCTTGAACTTTTTCCACCTATCGGAAGTTTTGTAACCTTTGACCAATATCTCTCCAACACCCACCCACCACCACAACTATTCTAGCTGCCAGTAAACACCATTCTACTTTCTACATCTATGAGATCAACTCTTTTAGATTCCATATCTGAGGGGGATCACGTCATATTTATTTTTCTGTGCCTGGTTTATTTCACTTAACATAATGTCCTCCAGGTTAATCCATGAGGATAGTTTTAATGGTTATTAAATTTTCATAGCTTGAAAGAGGCCATGTTGAGAACATTTACACCTCAGAAAATATGCTCAGTATTGGTTTTTATTTTTTTGAGAACTGGTTTACTAGCTCATGACTGAGATTTGGACATTGGAGCTGGAAGTAATGATTGGGACATCAAAATAGAGATGTCCAGCAGCTGATAGATTAAATATATCTGGAGCCATGGAGAGAAGTAGTTTGGAAACAAAGATTTGGGACTCAAGAATTGTGGGTAACTGGATTATTTATTTACTAATTCAACTTGTTTACCTACTTGAAGGGGAAACTAATAATAACCTGGATAAAATAACATTTTAATATTTGATGTACTACAAAAGGTAGAGTGATTTTTGTCTTTGCTTTATACTACATACTGTATATAAAACTGTATTTTCCTGTCTATGGAATATACTCAGGATACATTTAGGCATATTTCTTTATTTTAAAAACATAGTATATTTGAAGGAAACTCAGGCTTGTTTTTCCTCAATTTGTTATTGTTGTTTATAATATCATTTACCAAAGTTAATTCTGTGATGGACTGTACCAGTTATCTGCTTATGGCATCTCAGCTCCAAATCTACTCTTCTTTTTTCCTGCTTTGTGATACTGAAGCTGGGCCCTACAAACATTTCTCCTTTGTCAGGTAACTCAGTGTTAGGTTTTGTCAATAAAGGGCATTGGAGAGCAATGTACAGTATAGCAGAGGAAAAGGCTTCTCTTCCAAGTTCTGGTATGATTCCTTTTTTCTTTGTAGAATGCCTGTGGGGACAGGTATGTGGGGAGACTGTGGTGCTTGGCCTTTAGTGTGTTCTCCAACCCCTGGAAAATTTCTCTAGCACCCCAGCAGTGATTGGCTGACTCCATCCCATGGGATTCAGAAGGCAGCTTTCTATATACCCGTTCCAGCCCACAGTGCTTCAGTGAACATTGTAGGCAACCTGAAGGGCAGCTTTCAGCACACCAGCTCTGACCCAGGATACCCTCACACGTATTTTTGTCATCCTATGTGCTGTAGTCATACTCTTCCTAACGAGATCTTAATATCATCTTTATGGAAGAGGGATGGGAGAGCTTACAATTTGGCCCCTTCTTTGGGTTTTCTCACTTAACCCTAAGGTACAATATTCTCCCTAAATCTGCAATGCCTATATTTTTTAGATTTTTAAAAATTCATTTTAGACATTAACTATCTTTTACTAGTTAATAACTCTCTTTACATGAAATTTTATTTTTCCTGCTTCAATTATTGGTGTGGTTTGTGTCTCTTCCCTGGACCCTGACTAACACATGGACCATGTAAGAAGTTGGTCGGAAGGCAGAAACCTCCCTATGCAGAAAAATAAAATATCATCCTTTTCTATGAAATAAAGAGGATGCTTTTGGACACCTATTAAAATAATAGCGAAGGACTTTTATATTTATTATATATATGGCATTTTTCTGACCTGCATTTTTAAATTAATGTATTTTTCAGAATCCTCTGAAAGGTTCTGACTTTCTAGATGCAGCATTGATTTCAGAAGCAATGGTGAATCTTTTTTGTTCCATTTTTTTTTTAATTTTTCCGCATAAGTCTACATAATGGTCATTTCTACCTTTGTAACTTGGATTTACTATAATTTCCACTTAGTATTTCTCTCCTTTTTTTTTTGCTCTTCTAATGCCGATCATCCTTTATGGTCTAGCTCAGGTCATGATTCTTTCCAAGCTTATCTACCCTCCCCACATGCAGATTATCTACTACTCTTTATCTGCCAAATCATATCTCAAGAGCCATCTCTAATCAACTTATTGAGGTATTTCTCATGTTTCCAATGAAATATTAAACTATGAACCTTTGTGGAATTTTATACTTCTTTATGGGGAAGTTATTTTTTCTCTCATTTTCTTCTCTCAAGACTATTTTTTTCTTTTCACATATTTAAAAAATGTTTTAAGACTGATTTTGATAAGAACAGTATATAATAGTCCCATATTAAAATAGAAGAAGTGGATTAACAGTGATGTTAACAATAAGAAATGTACTGTTAACATATTAACAGTGAAATAATGAAGTATGGTGGGGAAATGACTATAAAGCAAACAGAATAACAATTAACCTTAATTGAGTTTAAGGTTTAGCTAAGAGTTTCTGGGAGTCAAATGAAAAAGGGAAATACAATGGGCTTTGTATTTATTTTACATTTTTAGTCAGAGATTATATTCATTGGTGATATGGTTTGGATGTGTGTCCCCTCTAAATCTCATGTTGAAATGTAATCCCCAATGTTGGAGGTGGAGCCTGATGAGAGGTATTGGATCATGGGGGCAGATTCCTCATGAATGGCTTAGTGTCATCTCCTTGCTGGTGAACGAATTCTTGCTCAATTAGTTCATCTGAGATGTTGTTTAAAAGTCTGGGGTCTCCCCTCAATCTCTTTCCTACTCCCTCTTTGCCTTCTGCCATGATTGCAAGCTTCCTAATGCCCTCACTAGGAGCAGATGCCAGCATCATGCTTCCTGTACAGCCTGCAGAACCATGAGCCAAAATTAAACTTTTTCTTTATAAATTACCATGCCTCAGGTATTACTTTATAGCAATGAAAGAAATGACTAATATAATTGGAAAGCAGACTATGAAGTGGATATTATTGTGCAGGAATTTCTATAGGGAAATGGAAAAAAAGCAGGATTGGGCAAATGGAATGCTCCGAAGCTGTGATGACCCCTTCACAGTTGTCACAAGTAGGGGTGATGGATCTGTGTCCTTATATCCTGACATCCTGGCATTGATCAGTTATTAGATGTGAGTTACCTAGAAAGGAGGTATGCTTTGGTAAAAAACTTCAGCTGAGGCAATTCCTGGGAAGACCAGCTGACAACATTTCCATCAGCTGAAGGAATGTATCCTTCAGTGTTGAAAGCGATTCTGGAAGTCATGGGATAGAATTACTAATATCACATATATATATATATATATATATATATATATATATATTGCTTTTTCACAGACAAGCACTACGTCTATCATCTCTCTTTAGCAGGAAGGACTGGGCTTTGCAGAATTGTTCAGCAATAAATTTCTAGGATTGAATTGAAGCAAAATTATATTCATGACTTTGGGGGGTTTGGGTGTGGGAAGAAGTGGAAGATTAAAACACTTAATTTTTAATGGCCACTGATGTCTCATTGAGAGATGAGAAAATGACAACTGTATAAAGGAAATGAAAATATAAGTAACAGCTTGATGCAACAGCAGAACAGATGCTGTAAGGAATTACATCACATGATTAATTGTCAAATGAGCCACATTAATTATTTGCTGGAACAAATAAAAACAAATTACCAGATTAATGATATAGGCAATTGTTGCTGCAGGAGTTTAGCTGGAGTGGAGAGTTAGAAAAACTGAACAGTTGGAGATAAGGCTGAGATATTTCCAAATAAGGAATTTAGATTGCTTCTGGCATCCTATGGGTGTTTGAAGGTGTTTGATACAATGATTGTGATCTAAGTAAGAACTTGGTTTGGTGTTGGCATAATAGATTTAGAATAGGAAGTAACTGGGGGCAGTAGATCACTGATAGATAATTTCCAGTCTGGATATAAAGTGATGGAGGTGATGATGGGAATAGAAGCAACTTCCTTCATAAAGATTTCCCTAACTCTCTGCTCTAAGTTGATTTCTCCCAAAGCTTCACTATTTGTTTCATATATTCTGATCTTTAATAATTTGCTGTCGTGTAATGAGCATCATAATAATAATAATTAAGATTTCTGTAGTTATTTATATTTTACAGAGTGCTTTCACTGTTCCTCTGACTCTTTCAAACATACCATGAGCTAGGCAGGACAGGAATTTCATCTCCATTTTTAGATGTGAAAACTAAAGCCCAGCTGCTTAATGCTATTATTCCTCTCTCACAATATTATAAACTTCTTCAAGCTACAGAGTGTATTTCTATTTTTACAGAGCCTAAAATAGAAAGGCAGTCAACAGATTTTAGTAGGATGTGTGGGAGCTCATATTTGAGGCAATACAAACTCATAAAATTAGGTGTTATAGATTACGCTGCCAAAAGATGACTCCAAGTAATATTAAAGTTGACTTTTTCATTTTTTACTTCCCAATGAGCAAAGTTTAGTTTTTGAACAGATGACAGCTTCATATGTTACTTTAGGTATAATATCACATCTGGGGGATATTTCTTTTTTCTCATGCTATTGGAAAATTTTACAGAATTTTCAGATAGATTGCGCTATAAGTATTTCTCTAAAATGAATATGCCTCCCCATGAAAAATGTACATATATCCAGGGATGCTTACATCACATGAAAAAATCTTGTAAGAAATAAAAGCATATGTAAAAAACAAAAAATGTATTATGAAATGTCAGGTGTTGGGATAAAACATTAACCTAAATTCACAATTCCTGATAATCCACAAGTAATAAGTGAGTTTATTAATTAAATGAGTTATTACTTTTCTTAAGATACCTTGAAAAGGAAAACATTCCATGCCAATTTAGTAATGTAATAGAGGTAGCACTAAAATGTTATACCAAGCACTGGAACAGGCTTGAGTGTGCCGGCTTTATCAGTAATTTATTTTCTCAACATAGGAAAGTCAATGGGGTTGGAATAGATGATCTCCGAATTTTCTTTCAGAGAGTAAATACATCTATTCCGTTGTTATTTAGTATTTAACATGTAACTGATGCTCAAGACACAATAATGAATAAAAAAGACATTTTCATATCCTCCTGGAGTTATATTTGATGGATGTATTATATCACAACTTGGAGTAGAAAGTGCTTGTGCCACACAAAAAGCATAGTTTTTCAAAGAAAGCACAACCATAAAATGGGTTTAAGGCAAGGAAATATATAGCATATGTTTGAGAAAAAGTTGTATTTTACTTGAATACTAGTGGAATTTTTAGTCTCAGAAACAAAATGAGTATAGAGTTTCAATAAAGATATAAGAAAATCCCTTACCAAAAAGACCTTAATGAAGAACAAAACAAAATTGGTGACAAGTTGGCTCTTGGTAGCTTCTAAGTAAAATTCAGTGGAGTAGCAAGGCAAAGCCAGGTTGAAGGCATTTATAGTGTAAGTGGATGGTAACAAAGTGGAGGCAGTGACATATGAGTTATGTTTAAAGAAATATTTGTAGTTTAAAAGCATGGATGAAGGCAGATAGGGCGGTGAATTACAGGGAATCAGAATTGGTGAGACATCTTTTTGTGTTTTTTTCTCTTTTTTTTCTTATGTTGTTTTATACTTTAAGGGAGAATAAAGAAAAATTTTAGACAAATAAGCATGTGGGCAAGATAGCAAAGTCTGGAAGATCTTATATCAGGGCAAATGTTGGTGGCTAAGCTTTGGAATATACAAATGAATAAAAGAGGGAGGTTAAGGTACCGAGAAACCTCAAGTAGGCATTCATAGACTTTTCAATAACTTTTAAAATTCTAAAAAGTTTAGAATAGCCACTTTTGACAATGTGATGATCAGTCAAAAACATGAAAACCAAAAGGAATAAAAAGGAAGAAGGCAAGAAATGGAAGGAGAAAGGGAGGAAAACAGGGAGAGAAGAAAGGTGGGAGAGACAGACAGAAGGAGGGGAGTGATGTACAGATCAGTTAGCAAACTGTCTGTGAAGGACCAGGTAGTTACAGACTTTCAGTATTTGGGGGTATATGGTTTGTTGCAACTGTTCTACTCTGCTTTGTAAAAGCACAAAAGTAGTCTTAGACAATATATAAGGCAATGAGTGTGGTTGTGTTTCAATACATCTTTATTTATAAAAACAGATAGCTGGTCAAGTTTGGCCTAAGGGCCATAGATTGCTGACATTCCAGCCAGATGATGCCAGATTCTATGTAGTTCAAAACAAGCCATATTAGCATGGTCCTATGACTTTCTTGAATGTAAGAATAGGGATTTTATATGTGTATATATATACACACACACAGGTACAAACACACACATGTGTATGCATACACACACAGACATATATATAAACACATATTTATATACACATAAATATATTTGTGCATGTATATATATATGTGTGTGTGTGTGTGTGTGTATATATATATATATATATATATTCATACACATATAAATGCTAGAAGTCATCTGGAGTCTCCAACTCCTTGAATCTGCTTAAGATCAGTCTGTCACAGACCCAGTTTTTATGGGCCTTATATTTTCTTGGTCACCTATGGTTCTGACTTTCTTCTATACCAGTGTTTTCTTCCTATGTGTTTTATACCCTTTTATTTACCTCTGCCCCGGTGTTCAGCTAAATATAATTCATTAAAATTTTTTTTTTTTTTTGCTTTTTTAAATTTCAGCTGCAAATCCATGAAGGCAAGCATGTTGTGAGGAAAATTTCTTTTACTAACAGAGTGAGGGTCTCCAGGAGTTCTAGCCTCATGAATCACAGAGCAAACAACTTCAAATTTTAAACTGATTTCAGGCATTCATATTTTCACAAGGCCTTTGGGTTATCATGCCACCAAGACATTATCAGTGGTCAACTGACCCTTGCAGAATTGTTTTTAAACTAATCCTTTTTTTTTTTCTTGCTGTGTCCTTTTTTTTTTTTCCTCTCAGGCAAAATAAATGAATGAATGGTGTCACGCAGGATTCAGCTAATTTTTTCATTATTTATATCTTTGCTAACAACCATCACCTAGAAATTTACCTTTTTACCTGAGAGGCTTAACTTCTAAGAAGTATCAGTTGTTTTTTCTTTTTTAACTAGGGTCTAGCATTCTAGGTCATCTAATTTGTGTTATCCTGTGAGATCACAACAACTCTGTATTGTATGGTTGGTATTATCTTCTACATTTTAATAGATGATAGGAAGAATCAAGAGATAGTCAAAATGGGAAGCATAAACTCTTTCTTAAAGGGTGAGTGAATGAAATTTATAATTTGGTGTCTATGGGAAGTGGGCTTGATGATACTCTAGATTTAGATTAGAGTTAATTAGTAGCACCTCATTTACTTTTGACTACTTTCTCAGAAAAGTAATCATAAAAACCCTTAAATAGAGGCAATGTTTTAACTGCATGGAGAAAGAAATGGAAGCAGCAATTAAAGCTCTTCTAGAACCCAGGAGTACTTTTCTTCAATAAAAATGCAGTGATCCCTGGAGCAGTATAGCCAAAGTAGGTAACTCTTTTTTAAAATGTCTTTATGTAGAACTAAAAATAGAACTACCATTTGAATAACCAATCGCATTACAGGCTATATACCCAAAGGAAAGTAAATTAATCTGCCAAAAAGACACATGCACTTATATGTTAATCACAGCAGTATTCACAATAGCAAAGGCATGGAATCAACCTAGGTGCCCAATAATGGTAGATTGGATAAAGAAAATATGGTACATATACAACATAAAATACTATGCAGCCATAGAAAACAACAAAATTATGTCCTTTGCAGCAACATGGATGCAGCTGGAGGTCATTATCCTAAGTGAATTGATAGAGAAAACCAAATACCACATGTTCTCACTTATAAGTGGATGCTAAATATTGGGTATACATGAACATAAATTTGGGAACAGTAGACATTAATAGAGGGGAGGAGGAGGGAGGGGAAGAAAGGTTGAAAACCTGTTAGGTACTATGCTTACTACCTGGGTGACAGAATCATTTGTACCCAGACCTCAACATCATGCAATATACCCTTGTAACAAGCCTGCAAATGTATTCCCTGAATCTCAATAAAAGTTGACATAATTTTTAAAGTATCTATGTAAATTTAAATAAATCCCTATCTGAACTTAAGTTTTGTGTTGATTTTAGTGTATACTGAAAAGACAGGGTTTGGTTCACCATTATTTAAGGTCTTTAGTAGTTAATACTGAATCAGAATTTAAGCCCATTGAAATGTAAACCTCATGAGCACAGGAATTTTTGTCTGTTTTGTTCAATGCTCTATTCTCTGACACAAAGAAGATTCTGAATACTAATTTGTTGAATGAATTAATTTAGAACTTCTTCAGTTTTAAACAAAGTTAATGTGAAGCCTTCAGAGCCCATTTGGTTTCCTGCAGCATTCCTGTGCATACTCTGTGCCCCTGGCCTCACCCTTTTCTTCCATTTCAAAGCAAGGACGTTCTCTGTTTTTAGTAGAAGAGTTGTTAAAAAGACAGCATTGAAGAATAACCAAGATGTCATCAGGGCCACTCAGCCCTTTTCAACATCTTTGAGGATTCTGTCCTGCGGTGGCGCTGGTATTTTACTGAGTCACCTCTGGCTATAGTTGCTTTCTCTGAATTCTCTCATCTCAATCTGGTCGGGCAGCTGTTATGACATCACCCCAAATATGAACAAAATCTCTAGTCCTTGATTATCCCAAATACCACCCACACAAAGACATCAGTTATGACAGAATGTACTGACTGATTGTATGGCTAGAAAATGTTTAGTAACTTTTCAACTGAACTGAATAGTAAGCCTTTCTATTTTTAAAAGTCATTTGGATAATGCTCTCTCTCTTTCCTTCTGCATTTTCACTTGTATTCTCTCTTGCTTGTATATAAACCTGGCTTGTTGCTGAGCTAGCTAGTCACTTCAATACCCCCTTTTCAATCTTCTTCCTAGTTCATTTGCCCTTGTCTACAACCTCCTTTAATACGTTGTTAGCAGAACTGTTTGTCTTTCCTTTGTCTCAACTCATCCTGCGGGCAACACCAGTTCAGTATTTAAAGATGCATACTCCAGACTGAGACTTTATTGGTGCAAGTCTTCCTCTACTTTATTAGCTTTGTAATCTTAGAAAACTTACTTTTCTTTTCCCCAGTTACATTTTTATTTGTTTTTTTGCAAGCTTGTAATGAATTGGTGAATGTAAAGCATTTAGAAAAGCATGGTGTGGTAGAAAGCTCTCACTAAATATTATTTTACATTTTTGTCTTGCTCCAGGGCTCTCTTCCTTAATAAAAAAAAAAAAAAAAAAAGAAAGAAAAAAAATTTAAAAAAAAGGAAAAGGAAAACCAAAAGGAAAAAAAAGTATTCTACAATGACTTTCACTAAACAGAGCCAAATAGGACCACCACAAGGAATTCAGTAGTCAGCAATTAAAGTAAAATTATTTCTTCCCTGCTAAAGAAAGCAAGTAGCAGTTTTTTAACACCAGAGGCTATTATGTCCTCATTTTGGTCAGTTAATTTTCTCTTTCCTGTGGAAAGTGATCATCATAATTTTATGTTTTAGGGCTCAATTCACTATTTTTCAACATTAAATTGTACAATTTAAAAATAATTTTAATTTTAATTTTAGATTCATGAGTGTATGTGGAGGTTTGTATGTGGCTATATTATGTGATGCTGAGGTTTGGGATATTAATGATTTCATCACCCAGGTAGTCAGCATAGTATCCAACAGTTAGTTTTTCAACCCTTGTCCCCTTCCCTCCCTCCATCCCCACTCTAGTAGTTCCCAGTGTCTATTGCTTCCATATTTATGTCCATGAGCATCCAATATTTAGCACCCACTTATAAGTGAAAATATGTGGTATTGGGTTTTCAGTTTCTGCATTAATTTGCTCAAGATAATGGTCTCTAGCTGTATCCGTGCTGCTGCAAAGGACACCATTTTGTTCTTTTTTATGGCTACAGATTATTCCATGATGTACCTGTATTATATTTCTTGATCAGTCCCCTATTGATGGGCACCTTGGTTGATTCCCTGTCTTTGCTGTTGTGTATAGTACTCCAATGAACAGACGAGTACATGTGTCTTCATGGTAGAACTATGTCTTTTCTTTTAGATATATACCCAGTAATAGGATTGCTGGGTCAAATGATAGTTGTGTGTTAGTTTTTTGAGAAATCTTTGAACTGTTTTCCACAATGCCTGAACTAATTTATGTTCCCACCAACAATGTATACACGTTCCCCTTTCTCTGCAGCCTTGCTAGCCTCTATACTTTTTTATAATAGCCATTCTGACTGGTGTAAGATGGTATCTCGTTGTGGTTTTGATTTGTATTTCTCTAATGATCAGTGATATTGAGCTTTTTTTCATATGCTTGTTGACCACATGTATGTCTTCTTTTGAAAATTGTTCATGTTTTTTTGCACACTTTTTAATGGGGTTGTTTTTTGCTTGTTCAATTGTTTAGGCTTCTTATAGATTTTGGAATTAGAACTTAGTAAAAGGCATATTTTGTGATTCTTTTCTTCTATCCTGTAGGTTGTCTGTTCACTCTGTTGATAGTTCCCTTTACTGTGCTGCAGCTCCTTAATTTAATTAAGTCCCACTTGTAAATTTTTGTTTTTGTTGAAATTGTTTTTGAGGACCTAATCATAAGTTCTTTCTCAAGGCCAGTGTCCAGAATGATGTTACCTAGGTTTTCTACTAGGATTCTTACAGTTTAAGGTCTTACATTTAAATATTTAATCTGTCTTGAGTTAATTTTTATGTAAGGTTAAAAGTAGGAATCTAGTTTTATTCTTCATATAGCTAGCCAGCTATCCCAACACAACTTATTGAATAGGGAGTCCTTTTTATCATTGCTTATTTTTGTCAACTTTGTTGAAGATCAGATGGCTGTAGGTATGCAAGTTTATTTCTGGGTTCTCCGTTCTTTTCCACTGGTCTTTGTGGCTGATTTTGTTCCAGTACCATGCTCTTTTGGTTATTGTAGCCTTATAGTACAGATTGAAGTCAGATAATGTAATGCTCCTGGCTTTGTTCTTTTTCTTAGGGTTGCTTTAGCTTTTTGGGCTATTTTTTGGTTCCATGTGAAATTTGGAATAGTTTTCTTCTAGTTTTGTAAAAAAATGGCATTGGTAGTTTGAAAGGAATAGCACTGAATCTGTAACTTGCTTTGGGCAGTATGACCATTTTAGCAATATTGGTTCTTTCAATCCATGAGCATGGAATGTTTTTCTATTTGTTTGTGTCACCTGTGGTTTCTTTACACAGTGTTTTGTAGTTCTTCTTGTAGAGAACTTTCACCCTGTTGGTTACATGTAGTTGAAGGTTTTTGTTTTTTGTGGATTTTTTTTAAGCTAATTGTAAACGGGATTGCATTCTTGACTTGGCTCTCAGCTTGAACATTATTGGTGTGTAAAATGTTACTGATTTTTGTAATTGGTTTTGTATCCTGATACTTTACTAACATTGTTTATCAGTTATAGGAGCCCTTTGGTGAAGTCTTTAGGGTATTCTAGGCATAGAATCATATCATCAGTGAAGGCAGATTGATTTCTTCTTTTCTGATTTGTATTCCTTTTTTTTATTTCTCTTTCCTGATTGCTCTGGCTAGGACTTCCACTACTGGCCTAGCCACAGCCAGCACTGTGTTGAATAGGAGTGATGAGAGTGGGCAAGCTTGTCTTCTTCAGTTCTTATGGGGAATGGTTCAAACTTTTGCCCATTTGGTATGATGTTGGCTGTGTGTTTGTCATAGATGGCTCTTATTATTTTGAAGTATGTTCCTCTGATGCCTAGTTTGTTGAGTTTTTTTTTTTTTTTTTTATCATGAAGAGATGTTGGATTTTATCAAATGCTTTTTCTGTGTCTGTTGAGATTACATGGTTTTTGGTTTTAAATCTTTTTATATGGTGAATCATATTTATTGACTTGCATATGTTGAACCAACCTTGTATCTCAGGAATGAACCTTACTTGAGCATGGTGAATTAACTTTTTGATGTACTAAAGGATTCAGTTTGCTAGTATTTTGCAAAGATTTTTATGTTTGTGTTCACCAGGGATATTAGGCTGTAGTTTTGCTCCTTTTGTTGTGTCTCTGCTAGGTTTTGGTAGCAGAATGATGCTGGCTTCACGGAATAAGTTATGGAGGAATCCCTCCTTCTTGATGTTTTGGAATAGTTCTGGTAGAATTAGTACCAGCCCTTCTTTTTACAACTGATAGAATTTGGCTGTAAAGCCATCTGGTCTGGGGTGTTTTAGATTTGTAGTTTTTGTTACTGATTCAATTTCAGAACTCAATGTTGATCTGTTCAGGGTTTTAGTTTTTTCCTGATTCAGTCTTGGGAGGTTGTGTGTTTTCAGGAATTTATCCATTTCCTATAGATTTTTTAGTTTGTAGGCATATAGGTGTTCATAATAGTCTCTGAGGATCTTTTGTATTTCTGTGGGGTCAGTTGTAATGCCACCTTCGACATTTCTGATGATGCTTATTTGGAGCTTCTCTTTTTTTCTTGGTTAATCTAGCTAGCAATCTATTGATCATGTGTATCCTTTCAAGGGACCAAATTTTAGTTTTATTGATTTTTTATGTATGGGCTTTGGGTCTTAATTTTATTCAGTTCCTGTCTAATTATAGTTATTTTCTTCTGCTAGCTTAGGCTAGTTCTTGTTTTTCTATTATCCCTAGGAGTGATGTTAAATTGTTTATTTGAGATCTTACTAACATTTTGAGGTAGGTGTTTAGCACCATAAACTTTAGTCTTAACTCTGTTTTTCTGCATCCAGAGATTTTGGTATATGTTGTGTATCTCTTTTCATTTATTTCAAAGAATATTTTGTTCTCTCCCTTAATTTTATTGTTTATGCAGAAGTCATTTGGGAGCAAGTTGTAGTTATTTATTTCTGTATAATTCTGTAGTTTTGGGAGATCTTTTTGGTGTTGATTTTGATTTTTATTCCACTATGGTCTGAGAGTATGGTTGGCATAATTCCAATTTTTTTCGAATTTATTGAGACTTGCTTTGTGACCAAGCATGTGTTTGGTCTTAGAGTATGTTCTGCACTTTCATTGTATATATACAGTAAATAGGGTTTTACCTTACTGAGCAGAAAAACAATTCTTCTTTTTCTAATAGTCTAAGATACTAGATAATACCTCTTAAGCAGAAATTATTTCATTATTTCTTACATTTTAAAAATTTGAATTATACTGATTATCAGAGGGAGAGAATGAATGATTAGTTTTTTTTTAAAGAAATGGAGGGTAATTTATTGATTATACAGTGTATCTCCCTACACTTTACAAATGAAGACTTTGAGTTCATTGGTTATATGACTTGCAGAAGGTCTATGTTTCAGTGCCTGGATTGGAGTCAAGCAACTCAGAATACTTTTGTACCTGCACCCTTCCTTGTTTTGTTATATAACTCTAGAATAAAATAAAAAGCCAGTAAGTAGTGCTTAACTAGAATCAGTATAGAAAGAAACAATCCTGCTTTCACACTTCTCCCAAAGGACAATGTTCAATATAATATGGAGTCAACTTTTATTTGAATTGTTGAGTGATTTGCATCATATTAGTCATAGCTCTAATCAAACAGAATTGTTTTTTGGAACAAGATTATCATCTCTATCTTCTCTATATCTTCTACTTTCTTATAGCAGGGTCTTACAGAAATGCTCAACCTACTTCTTGTTGACTACATTCGATTGTTGCCTTAATTTGCCTTTTGAGGGTCCAAATTATTATTTTAATATATAATCTTCCTTTGAACAGACATAAGTCAAATCAATGACAAAATCCCTAATCTTAAAGATCTTATCATATACCTGAAAACACTGGATGTAAAATAGACCTAAGAGAGTAAATAATCAACATATACACCCACAGTATCAACTGAATACAGTAGAATTTCACAAGTTCCCTTATGTTGACATCAAGCCAAAGGGGATATGTAGTTAATTTACCTAACTTAATCACAATAACCTTAGAAGGAGGTGAGAATTTTATTAGAGGACTGAAGAAAGAGGATAGAAGTATGAGCTGGTGGATAAGACAGAGTCTTGTAGATCATTGGAGGAGAGAGGAATAAATAACCACGATTTGGAAAGCAAGAATTTTGGTTGGGCTACTGAAGTTCATGTGATGAGAAAGAAGAGTTACCTAATTTTAAGAATGGAGTGAGATTGGGTCTAAAGCTATTTGTGAAAAAAACTTAAAGGCTACTCTCCGCAAAGTCTGAATATAATTTTATGATTTAACATGTTTTTGCTTCTTACTCTCTTTTGGCAAGAACTTCATAAACTGAAAATAACTCATGAATGAATTATAACTAGTATCTTTTCATGTTTTAGGAGCTCCATGAATTTATAATGAATTCTATTCTTTGTATTCTCTGTTTGAGTGATGAAAGGGTCAGAAGCACAATTTATAGGTTAAATGATATTAGAGAACTATGTATTGTGTGACATATTTCATTAAAGAAGAGGCTATGAGCTGGGGCTTTAACAACCAGGAATTTCACACATCTGGCCAGCAATCTTGTTCATAACTACTTTTATAATTGCTAAGAATAAGAAAAAAGAATTATGTGCATGCATTTTTTTTTAAGGTTTACAACTGCAGTTTCTATTCAGAGTAGATTTTAGTGGTGAGGGGGTACTGTGCCCATATAACATGTAAATATAAAGTATAATAATTACTTTGATAATACTCATATAAAGTAAAAAAGTTTTGTCTTTATAACTTTTCTGAAAATATATATTAGCATACTAGCACTGTACTAAAATTAAAATTCTTTCGAGGATTTATCTTTGTTAGGAGTAGAAAAGGTTAGTTACAAATTATCCCAGAAAATTAAAAAGCAGATTGAACCCTTTGTTTCTCATTAAAACATTAATACCATTTGAAAACTCTGCTTAAATTCTCTGTTCCTAAAATTAAAGTATTTAAAAATAGAAATATAACATATAATATATAATTACAACACCAGCTGCATGTATATGGATATATCCAATGGATGATATTGACAGCCAACAGTAAATCAATTTTAAAAATTTTAGGCATCTTCCATTTGCCCTTCTGCAGTCATGAGATTTCTTGGGAGCCTAATTTAATACACATGAAACTATGACAGAAATAAAGAACAAGGCAAGACGATCTATAATTAAGTGATGAATGCCATAGCTTTAAGTGCTGTTGGAATTTAACAGAAGTAAATACAGCCTTTGAGAAGAATAGCCATTTTCCAAATTTTGTAACACTCATTTTATTCATTTTAATCAATGGCCACAGGGAAGTTTCAGAGCCGAGGATGATAAACTATGCTATTTGAAGGGCTGTTAGAAGACAAGAAGATTGGTTAATTATCCACATAATGATAGTTTAAAAAGCCAATAATTTATTTAGATATGTAATGACCTGTTTGATGATGAACATTTTTTCCTGCTCTTTGCTAAGCAAGATATGATATCTTATTTTCTTCGTAGTAATAAGTAACATTTAAAACATAATATTGACTAGCTTCCCTTTTTAGGCACAATTAAATATAAGTCCCCAAACCAGCAGGTAGCTTGAATCTTCAAATTTAAAATAGGTGTAGAAATTTGGAGAAACGACAAGAACAATATAGTAAAATGGGAAGGATTTACCCTTGCTAATGATTTTTGGAATCTTACATAATTAGTGAATGAAACAATTTCATTAATTTTGACACCTATCTTTTGGCTGGATATCATCCTATGACAGATAAATTGTTACTATTTTCATTCCTTAAATCTATTTATATTTTTTACCACCTCTCAACACAATGCATATGTTGTGGCTGAAATACAAAGGAAAGGCTTGATGCTTATGTTCAGAAGGCCTGAATTTAAGTCCTGGCTATATTGTATCCCTGCTGTGTGATCTTAAACAAGTTACTTAATTTCTCTGAATGAGATTTGATTACTCATCTGAAAAATGGATCAGTACTGATACTTTCCTTACCCAGTGGTGAATCCATGCATGCTTATGGAAACTGTTAATTACCAAGTGCTCTGGATTCATTAGTTCTTCTGTATTCTCTTTCTTACTTTCCTCCTTCTCTTCCTTTTTCTTTCCTTTTTTTCTTCGTCTTCTTTCCAATATCTGTCCATATTAACGCAGGTATTTAAAATAAAATAAAGCTTAAATAATTATATCTATCCATATTAACACAGGTATTTAAAATAAAAAAAGCTTAAATGATTATATTTTAAATTGCTACATGTTGGATCTGATTTTTAAAATCTTTAACTACCCTGGACCCAGGAGGTGGGGTGGCAGTGAGCCAAGATCGTGCCATTGCACTCCGGCCTAGGTGACAAGAGTAAAACTCCGTCTCCAAAAAACAAACAAACAAAAACACTTTAACTACATTTTTTCCTTTTATGTAGATATTTAGAAGGTGACTATATACCTTCAATGATGACCTTGGTAGAGGCTCAAATCAGTGTTATTTCTTTTTAATCATTTTTTTCTAACCTTGAATAAAAGCCATAGAGAATTACTTTGTAGAGAGCAACTGATTAACATAATAATATCACAGGGTAGAAATATAATTACTGGATTATTTCAAATACATTTCTGTTTCTAGAAAGTAGAGCTCACTTCCTATTCTTGGGTAAGATGTGGCATTAACAAGAAAGGCAGTAGGCTGACAGAAATCCATAGTTATGATTTTTGCTGTTCAGTACAAGGTCAATGGTTAATTAAGTCACCACCAGTGGAAATTTGATCACAGATGAGGTCTCCAACTTTGCCCATATTACTGGGCTCTCACTGGATGACTCAGCTAAGTCATTATATTAACTTTGCTTCCTCCAGACAGGTACATGACTCAAACTGGGCTGACAGGGGACTTAGGTTGTGGTGCTGTAATATTACTTTCTAGACACTGTGATTATCCATTTCAGAAAATACACATTCTTCTCAGAAATAGGATTTAATTTTAAACGTGTCGTTTGTTATGAAAATTAATCACCTAATGTCATAGATAGATTAGATTGGCAAGGGTCTTATGGGTACCTTTATTCACTGATCTGTTAAATACTGACCTCATTCATTTCCATGAATATTGGAATCATTGAGTATCTTTCATGTGCTCAGCATTGTGCTGGGCGCTGGAGTTAGATAGAACAGCATGAGCCTTCTTTCTCTTGAGACCTTTAAGCTCCTCAGATCACAGCTAGGTAAACTAAAGCCAAGAACGTTTAACTAACTTGCTTAAAGTTCAGTTGGCTAATAATAGCAGAAACAGGACTAGAACCCCAGACTCTGAGCCACCTCCTTGTTAAGCACTTATCATAAGTAAGATGACTTTTAATTTTTCTTGTGAGTTCATATAAGTATGGTATACTATGCTTAGACACCTTATATTTGTATTAGCACTTAAATATATAAAATGCAAACAAAAGGTACCAGAGAAAACTCAGGTGGATTTAGATGCAATCAGTGTACCTAGCATCCCAAGCCTTTTCCTGCATTAGAGGAAAAATGGCTTTGTTTAAGTTTGTACTGTCTTCTCAGTATCTTTATTCCATGAATTTGTCCATAAATAACCTTTTCTAGCTTTTCTCTGAGGTGTACTTTGTGCCACGCTTTCTGTGTCACAAACAGGTATGTGAGAAGAAAAACAAATGGTGCTTTTACTCAAATTAGGAATATGAGATATTTGTTGTCCTCTGCTAAAACCTAAATAAATATGCATGACATCCTACAAATGTAGTGGAAATTCCATCTCTGCCTCTAGGCTGCCTTCAACTAGGTCACACTAGGCAGATAAGGATATATGTTGGCTCTTATGTGTCTATTGGGAGAAATCCATTCTTGAAAGTTGGGTTGGGAAACCGTTTCAGTTGTGGCTTATGTATATTTATAGTGCTTGCATTTATTCTTTTGCTGTTCCCCTGTGTGAAGCGTTATATGGGTTCATTTTGACAGGATTGGACGAGGCACAATGTGTTAACCTCTTTTTTCTTGTAATTATATAAACATGTACACTGTACACAGTGACCTGGGAATGAGGATCAGAACATCTGTTATAATAACTGAAATGGTGAATGAGAGTAGATTTTGAATTGTAAAGCAATAAAAGTCACTCTTCTGATCTGTGGCTTTATGCAAATGCAAATGTTTGAAAATGCTGCTGAAACGTGTTATTCTTTAACTTACCAGAGGTAGAAAGAGAGCTTGCTTTTTATTGTTCTCACATGGGTGCTCCCAGCTAGGGAGTTATTTGTCTTTCTTGGAATCAATTAAGTTAACCTTTACAGCAATTTGTTTAGTAGTTTAAGCATTCTAGAAGCTACAGAAAAGTGTCTATTTAAAGTAGCTGATAATGTCAGGATAACCTCATGCTAGCAAGGCATATTTCACAGTAGTTCTTTGGTATGCAATCAGCATCACCTACATAGGCTCTTGATAAATTTTGGATTAAGGAACCAAGAGCCTTTTGGGTACAAATTAATAAAATGAATGTTACTTTCATCATTCTTTTCCCAAAATGAATGATTAGTTGAAGACCCTACCTAGGGGCAGGTCATGAACTCACCTTGCAGAGGAACCTTTGCCCATTCTTCTGATTCCATGCAAACCCTCTTCACCACACCAAGATTACCTTTCTCACGAGAATTATCATTGTCTTTGCCAGTACCAGCTTGGCTGCAAGCAGAGGACATTTTAAAAGATTATTTTAAAATTATTTAAAAATTTAAAGTTACTTAAAATTACTGGTTAGTACTTGGTTATACAAATAATGTAGCAATTTTTTTCAATAGAAAACTGAAGTATAAAAAATGAAGTGATTTGCCTAAGGCCACTCAGCAGAAAGGCTGAACTGGACTGTGAACCCAAGCCAACTGACTCCAAGAGCCCTTATCTTTAATCACTATACAATATTTCCTATTTTATTAGCCATATATTCTGAATATTTTTCCACATCAATAAATATAAATTTAACCATGCATTTTAACGATTGCACAGTATTCCTCTGGTGGTTTACAATGCTATTGTAGAATCTCCTCCCAGATGATATACATTTAGATTGTTTCAATTGTATTTCATAATTAAAAATAGTTCTTCTATGAATATAATTGAACATGTGTTATTTCTAGTAAAATTTGTCTAATTCTTCAATAGCTATGTAATTTGCCTTTCTTACTAATAGAAATATACAAAATTGCTTGCTCAAAGATTATTCCTTGACTCTACATATCATTATATTTATATTAATGCAAAAAACACTTATTGAGCACCTACTGTGTTACACTCAGTTAAGAGCTGCACATTCAACATGGAGTAAATGCACAAGAGGTTATAGACTAATAATTCTCACTAACGAATTTTAGAACAAATGCTTTAAAACCTTTGCTTGATTATAAATATGCAGTTCACTTCTCAGGGGATGTTTAGGAGTATTATCATTTTTAATGGAAATCTCTCATAGAGGGGTGTGTGTGTGTGTGTGTGTGTGTGTGTGTATGTATGTATGTGTGTGTGTGTCTCACTCTCCACCCTGAACACACAAAGTCCCATAGTCTACAGTTGGGTCATTTCATTTGATCTTGAGACATTTGTTTAAGCTATGTCTACACAAAGTCACTGTAAACATTTTGGTCAGTGACCTGCTTTGTTTGACAGTGTCACACCACTGTATTTTTTTCTGGTCTACTTTCACTCTGGATTAACTAGCAGGTTTTTAAAGCTTTCCTCAGACTGCTTTTATATGAGTCCTTGTGGGTATGCATTAGTTTGCATGCAAACTCATATATGTACATTATTTCTGCATTAGATCTCTACTAGATTAGCTACATTATCTGCAATTCGAATTTCCACAATCAGTTTTTGAGTTAGATGTTTAGAAAAGAAAAGTTACTAAACTTTAACTCTTTATTTATACATTTACATTTTCCCTGGACAATTTTCTACAATATTTTCTTCCCACACCTGCTTTGGGTTCTTTCAGTTTTTCAATTTCACAGGAAAAAAATACCTATTATTGTATGTTGAAACTAGTTGTAAAGAGTAAGAATTTTTAAAATAAATTCTAGTTAGCATTAGATATATCCTCTATTCCACAGACTGTTCTAATTATAAAAATAACTCATGTCATTTTGTAATTAACAAAAGGCTTTAGCAAATACCTGAGGCTTTCTGGATTTCTGGAAGGAACACAGTGTGATCCCCATGATTGTCTTAGTTGCCTGCAAAAGGAAAATAATGGCCATTTGATCAATTTCTACAACATTTTAATATGATGTTGATACAAAAATATGGCTTTAAAACTTCATTTTGTTTTAATACATGAGACACTCTCATATTTCTTCTCCATATTAGTGAGATTCTCCAAACATTTATTAAAAACTCACACTACATGTGAGGCACCAAGTTAAGTCCGATAAGTCAAAGAAGAGTAAGCCATCAAAGAGTTTTCAGAGGAACCATGTATGGTAATAGAAGGTTATACCCTTGGTCCTGTCAGAAGTAGTAGAAAAAAGGAATGAAAAAGATGGTGTGAGAGGGAACTTGAAATCTATATGAGGAATAGATAGATATTTATAGAGAAGTAGGCTTCTTGAAGGAGAAGATGAGGTGTTATTAATGTAATATGAATGTTAATATTTTAGCAATCTCAAGATAATTTAATACTATAGTTTTAAAAAGGGGGAAACCAAAAGTAATTTTAAGAATTTTAAGAAACTTTGCCAGAAAATATAGAAGTAAACAGTTGTTTTACTCTTCTTTGTTCCTTCATTTAAAACAAAATAAAATAATAAGCACACAAAAATATACATTTATATATAATAGTAAATATTCCACCTAAGAGCATTAAAATATTGCTTAAAGAAACTGCAAAGTAAATAGGTAAGAAGAAATGAAGGACCTATCTTAAAGTTATAGTCCATATAAATAATAGATACTGTTTTGTATATAATATCAAATTACATATGTAGATTGCTTTATGAATAATACTATTAAATTAATTTGCATTTTTATAAAATATTAACTTGCTAGCCATCTTTTAAATTACTATTTCTGGATTAAAACTCTAGAATGTTTAATACTTTCATTTTAAACTCATGATATCTAAATCATCTTTCTAAACTCAAAACATATTTGCATCTATATTTTATTGATTGAATTTCATAATATTTTGGCAGATGATTTCTCACATCAATGTATTTTTTGCAAAAGAGAGAGTTAAGTGTCCCATATTTGCAAAAGACTGGCATTTAACCAGATCTGAAATTCAGAATCATTATTCTTCCACAATTTACTGTGCAGTTCTTAAGGCAGTTTTAGAATCATTAAAGTGTTATAAATCTCTGATATTCAGATCATTTCACCTGATCCCTTCATTTTGCAGAAGAGATGATGGAGGTCTGGGGAGTGAAGAGGCTTGCTCATCCAGTCACTTTTCGCCTTTTCTTTTCATTTGGTTGACCTATTTTCTTTTAAATAAGTACGATTAAGCACATGCTTTTTACCTTCAAATAGTTGGTATTATTTATACTGTTTATATTATAATTATGTGACTACCTTTCCTGTTATCTCAGTTTGATCAGTTCTATTTATATCTTGATACTATTCAAGCGTCTGCCTTCCCAATCAGTATGCAGGCCCTCTTGGTTGTAAATTGCTAACATTTAAGTAGCCATTTCCCAATTTTCTTCTCAGTGTGCAGTGCCTCTACTTTAAAATTAATATTATTTGCATGTGTATTTTGAAGTCCTCCCTTGGATTTTAATGGTCCATTTATAGAAAGAAAAATCAACACTTATTTTCCATCCACTACTGAAAAATAATGTTGGAAAGTGTAGGAGCTTTGTCAAGTAAAAGCTTATTTATTTTTAAAATAAGAAAGCACATTTACATGCCAGAAAACAACCAATCTTTGTCAAGGGGCTATTACACTATTTCCTGCAACTTGATTTCAGTTTATATACTGACTTCTCACTCATATTCTTTATTCTGGACTGTATCAGCAACTTCTTTTTTTCAAATGCCCAGGACAAGTCTGAGAATATGATAGATGTAGGAAGATGTATGCAAGTGGACCTTTAACGTCTTCTCTAGTTGAAGAACTGCAGAGAGTGCTAGAACTTCGAAAATTCCAGGACATTCTGCAGACAAAATTTTCATTGGTTACATATTTGTATAGTTTTTATTTCACCTGAAATATTGACAAAGTGCTAATGTGTATGCTTTGATGAGATAACTTAGCAACAATGAAGAAGGTTATTGTCATTAGAAATAAGGTTGAAAATACTGGAGCCAGTCTTTTTATTAAATCAAAAATACCTGTTGTTTCATGGCTCAAATGACTCAAAAGCAAGTAGGAAGGGTGGGAGATATTTTTCAGCGTGAAGTGGAGACCAGACACTCCTCCTCGCCTGGAAAATGAGTACATTACGCTATATACTTTCCACATAATCACCTTTTGGGAAGCTGTCACCTACTTATTTATTTTTCCATGGTGTGTCCACGGGTCACATGTATATATGTTTTATTTTTGTTTTCACTTTTTAACCAGCATACATTTAGGCACTCACCAACTTCACACAAAATTAATTTCAAATTGTTATAGTCATAGTTTATATGGACATAAAACTCTTAGAATTTGTTCAAAGAAACAAAGTATTTACCACTTAGAAAGAGGAAAGTTATTGAGAAAATAGCCAGAAGTTGAGGATAAAGAGTGGCAATATTACCCAGCAAGAAGCAATACAGAATGGCAATTAAAAGATGGGGCCTGGACTGAGGTCCCTCGTGTCTTAATCCAGCATCCATCACTTGCCAACTGTGTAACTGACCTTAGGAAGGCACTGAGGATGCTAGACCTGTTTCACGGTCTTGCTAAAGCAGAATTCAATAAGCTCAGTGAAGCAGGTTCTTTGGACTAAGAATTAATCTACCTTGCAGGACTGAAACATAAAGAAGAAAAACAAATCTTAGACTCAGTAATTGGGACAACTTAAATATTATTATATTCAGACTTAAAATATAAATTTTATTTGATGGGAAATAGATTAAAGACAGAAAACGTGAGTCAAATAAACTTTTTGATGACTTTTTATTAATGTTTGTAAAATACACAGTGCCTGATGTAGCGTATGATGTCAATAAATGTTGACTGTTAGGAACTTTCATTCTTCAATGAGATTGAGCTTAGGTGTAAACATGTTTCATACTTATTTAAATTTCTTTAGCTTCAAATTGCAGGAGTTTGCATTATGTTTGAAAGGGGTCTGGAACATTGAGCACATAAAGCAAAGACACAATTAGTTCAGTGCAGTTAGGACCAGTGAGGAATGTTTTCCCAGAAAAGGTGACTATTTCAAAAGCTCACAATGAGAGATAAATTTACAGATGTATGTGTTAATGTGTGTGTGTGTGTGTGTGTGTGTGTGTGTGTGTGTAGGTACATAGGTCAGTAAGAAGAAGCTGGGCTCCTGGGCAGATGAGCCCTGTTTGGAAAGCAATGGAGGCATTTGATTTTGGTTCAATCAGGTAAAGGTAAGTGGTTTAATATGGCTGTATGACTGGGGAAGTGGGAGTGGTAAGAAAAGAGGTTGGAAAGGAAGGTAGAAGACAAATTATGAAAAACTTTGTAAATAGCATTAAGCTTAAAGATTAGTCATTGAAAGATTTTAGGAAGTTGAATAATAAGATCAATGTTTCACGTTATAAAAATGACTTTGATTGTAGTAGCTATAAACTACTGAAAAAAGCTAGAATAGGTGCAAGTATCCATGAAAAATCCAGTGGAGATGCATTGTTGTGGTGTGGAAGACATAGAACTTCTGGACTTAGTCAAGCATATGAAAAGGTTTACAGTGACATTCCTGTAGAAATGATGGGAATCTATAAACTGTTAGCTAGAATAATTAAGAAGACCATTACCTAGTTTAACAATAGGGACAGACTCCAGTGGGGTATCTATGAGGTTATGGTCTAAAGCTTTGCTTGGTCTTTAACTCTTTCTGGCTTATGATTTTTATCACTGACTTAGATATAAAAGCAAAACTGAATATGACCTAAAGGCAGAAGGTAAAGAAACACATTTCACATACCTTTGTAATATTAGTAAATTACCTTGATACATTAGATGTTGAATAAGTTAATAATAACAGTTGATGATAGAATTAGGCCCCAAGTGGTTTTAATTAGAAAATTAGACCAACTGTAAGTAAAAGATATTAATCAGGGATACTTGTAAAAAAATTTTAAAAAAGTACATCACAAACATAAACTTTTTAAACAATAAGCTTAAGATGAATGAGCAGTGTGATACTGTACTGTTAAAAAAATCCAGTATTTTATCTATAATACATTAACTTATGGAGCTGGCCACTCTCTCATAATTTGCTTTGCTTGGATACACTTGGAGTATAACATTGAACTGTGGACACACTAGGCTGTGTTCAGAAAAAAAAAAAAAACTAGAAAAACGAAAGGATCAGATTAGTCATGTGACAAACAGTTAAACAATTTCAAAGTGTTAGGCTAGATGAAAGAAACGCAGTAGGAAGATGAAATGTTTTCAAATTCTGGAAGATAATCATGTTTAAGTTGGGATTAAATGTATCTCAATAAAAAGATATGATTAAAAACTTTAGGAAAACAGGGGATGGATTAATATATGGGAGAACTTTGTGCTGGAGCTCTCCAGAGAGGTGAGGGACTGCTTCAGATGATAAGTTTGTCATTCCTGGAGGCCAATGTGTAGTAATAAAGGCAATCTATGTATCTGAATGATGAGTAGACCAGATGATTTACAGATTGTATGATTCTTAGACTCCATCTTTTACACTCAGGATAATAGTGCAATTTTAGTGCATAGTACATGTAAATATTTGCAGGTTAATTTAATGGTCATTTTGAGAAGTCTGTTAAAAATATGCATTAAGAACAAAATGAGTATTGGGGTTTTATTTCTTCTTGTCCATTTTCTTTTCCCCCCAAACTTTTATTTTGAATTTTTAAACATACAGAAAAGTTCAAACAATTGTATAAATAAACACTCATAAGCACTTTGATTAAACAATTGCTTATATTTTTCCAGTTTTTTGTTTATGATACTTCTTTCATACCTAAAGACTTGATCTCCTAAGAGTCAGGATATTTTCTTATATAACCACTATATCATTATTTTGCCTAAGGAGAAAAAAATGATACCCTAATGTCATTTAATATCCATGGCATGTCATTTAATAGCCAAAGGCCAATGTAACATTGTCCTTTGGCATTATATTGTATAAAAATTAAAGAAGCTTGATGATTTTGTCCTTTGGATAATGATTTGTACAAAATTAAAATGCAGAGGAACCTTTTGCAATTGTTTAGACAGGAAATAAGATTGGTATAACATTTGATGGAGAAAATCAACATATCTTCTGGGAGGATAACAGATGGTGTGCCATTTAGAACATCAGTTTCTTTATTAAATTAAAGTCTACAAAACACAGATTGTACTCACTTTAAGGTAAGACCTATTTGAAAAGTCTCAGAGGTTAGATGTGACGTTGGTTGGTACATCCATCATGGGTTTATGAGTCATACAGTCCTCAGTAGTAGTTACAATTGATTTAAAAGAGAAAGGCATTGACTAGGCTTTAGCAGTTGACTAATCTTTTATTTCAAGTCTTAAGTAGTGAAGTTCTTTTGTGAGTCAGAGACTGTGATGTGAAAAGTTTCAGCACTGAGTGTTCTGTGTAAACCAGGGATCACTTGACATTTGGTTTCCTATATCTACAAAACAAAGGAGGGCAATTGTGCCCATGAAAAAGAAAGGTATTCTCCTCTCCTTCTTTTTTTCTTCTTTTAACAAGCCTTTTGTAGTGAAGAGAACTGTTAACTTTTAATATAAGCTTGGAAAAAGAATTGCGGGCATTTTATGGTTTGATATAGAGGTTATGTGAGATATGATGGCCCTTCCTGAATTAAGAAATAAAACAATGATAAAGCTGTGAGAATGATTTTCTTAGATGATGTTTTGAACCTAAAAAGTTCAAGGTAAGTATGAGAAAGCAGTACATTTTGCTTGTGTTGTATGGAGAATAAGGAATTAGATGATAACTACACAGGAGTCTCCAGATTCTTGAAAATGTGAAACTGGTTGAATTTTGGTGTAAGTCTAGAAAGAGCACAAAATTATTGATTACTAAGATGCTTCTTTAAGATCATATAGGTCTTATGAGTCCTTTATTATTCTGAGATATATTTTATCCATCAAACATGATTTATGAACTCTCAGGAGAGCAATTATCTCTTCATGGATCACATGCTTATGAAATACTATGTACAATCCTGACATTATAATAAAAAGAATAATTCTAGGAGAAAACAGTTTTATAGAAGATTCCCAGTACAAAATGGATATTATTTTTTCAAGTCATAGGAAAGAAAAACATCTTGTTTAAAATCATGTGAACAATTATCCTTTTGCAGGCTCATGAACAGGTGGAAAAAATGCTTTGCCATTCAATTTTATAATAGCAATTTAAAAATCAAAGATGTTCTTTTAAAATTATAAAAACCAGCTGAGATCTTCCTCAGAGAATCAAATATAGAGAGCCTTATATTTCACTTTACAAAGAAAATACATGAAGTATATATGCCCCTGATTTCCTGCCCATCTTCACATCTGCAGATTACAGATAATTGCTTCTTGCTGGAGTGAATAAGGTGTCCTCCTCCCCTAGGCTTAGCCTATTTGCCATGCTTTGGATTTGATCCTCTCTTTTTCCTGAGACACCTGGCTCCATCACTAATGCCTTCTCTTTTCTACCTTTTAGCTTTCTCTTCCTATTGGTTCTTTCCCTCTGCATATAAATATGTTAAGTCTTTCTCATTATAAATGAAGCAAAGACACAAACACCCTGAGATTTTATCTTCACCTTTCACTGTCCTGTTTTCTGCTACTCTTTAATATTCTAGCTTCATTTTGAAGAATATTCATTTTTTTAAATAACAAGATTAACATATTTCCATTGTTAGCTATTTAAATTATACAAATAAATAAAAAATCAGAAAGTCAAAATTAATCAAATGCCTATCATCTAAAATGAACCAAGGTTAATATATTGTTATGCATAAGGGCATATTATAACTACTTCTGAAGCATTTTGTCATGAAATACCTTCTATAGAATAATTTTAAAATGGCTAAATATATAGTATTTTATTAAGTATATCTACCATAGTTTCTGTAAAAAGTCTTTTACCATTGTATACTTAGAAAATTTTGAATCATTGTGTTCTTATAAATAAAGAAGTGAACATCCTTGCAGCTAAATCAGTGACATTTTCCTTAAGTTTCCATCCTGTAAGTAGAATTAGTGCTTTCAAGTGTGTGATATTTTTAAAGCTTGATAGATTTAAAAAAAGGACTTCAATAAAGTTTGTGTCGATTTATTTTTCTATTCAGCTGTGCTCTTTCTTACACCTCAATACATTTGATTCATAAAGATTCTATCTCATTGTTTTAATTAACCTTTCCCTTTTCCTGTTTTTGAACATTTTCTTACATTTAGCGGTTATTTGCATTTATTATTTATGAATATTATCTACTTATGTTCTTTGCCAGTTTTTCTACTGGAGTTGTGTTTTCAGTAGCTAGTTTTTTTATTGAATATATTATTTTCTTGTAAAATGTATTATATTTAATATACTTTCATATATTTTCATATTTGTCTTTCGTTATATTTGATGCATAGATGTTTTTCAAATATTGAAGCTACATTTAGTAATATTGCCTTTATTTTTACTGCTTGTGTTTTCAAACTTAGAAAGGCCTTAGCACTTTCATACAATTGTTTTTTAAAGTAAAATTTTATTAAAGAATGATCTATGTAAAGTGCACACATGATACAAGTAAAGTTCTAGTAATAAGTATCCAAGCACTCAGATTAAGAAACAGATCATCACCAGCATCCCAAAAGCACATCATGCTCTCTTCTTACTGCTATTCCCACCACTAACATTTTTTGAACTTTTTGAACAATGAAATCATGCAGCAGTATACTTTTGTGTCTGGCTTCTTTCACTCAATCATTTGTTTGTGAGATTCATCTCATGTTATTGCATGTAGTTCTTTATTGATGCAGGTCTTCCATGTTGTTATAAATATTCTTGCACATATGCTTTGATGAACTTATGTACAGATTTATGTTTATCAGCTATCCCAGAGTGAAATTTCTGTGTCACAGAGTTTGTATATTTTCAGTGGTAGAAGATTCAGACACTCAATTTTCAATGTTGATTGAGCCAGTTTGTCTTTTTCATTTTAGCCATGCTGGTGTATATAAAATTGTTTCAAATTGTGGTTTAAATTTTCATTTTCCATAATACCATGAAATTGATCACTTTTTTATGTACATTGTCCATTTCAACTTATCTTTTGGGGAATGCTTGTTCAAATTTTCTACCCATATTTCTGTTGGTTTGACTGCCATTTTCTTTTTTTGTAGATTCTTTAAAAGAGAAGTCTTTTCTGTCTCTCCCTCTGTCACACACACACACGTGAAACTACTAAATGTGTGTATATATGTGTGAATCCACTAATTCTACTTATAGGATATAAAGAAAATGTCATATATATATGTGTGTGTATATATATGTGTGTGTGTGTTTTGTCATTTGTTTATGGCACACATATACACGTGTGTGTGTCTGTTGAGTGTGTGTCTTGTGTGTGTCTCTGATTAGGAAGTTCTTAATTTTAAGAAAGTCTAATATGTCACATTTTTACCTTTATAAGCATCACTTTTTGTTTTCTTTTAAAACATCTTCTCTTAGCTTTTTTTTGAACTTTATTTTTTAATGTCACATTTCAATGTATGATTGAAATAATTTCTATATAATTATCTACTTAATCCAGAAATATTTATTGAAAATACAATCCTTTTTTATTAGAACTGCAGTATTATCACTTTAATATTGTTGTCTATATAGATGGAAAACTATGGATTCTGTGTTCTACTTATCTATTTTTCTCTATTAATTTTTCATCAGATACTATTTCATTATTTGTTTAGTCTTTGTCCTAGAATTCAAAATGCATTCTTGAATTACTATGTTCAGTTATTTCTGAACATAGTATTTCTCCAAATACTGCTAAAACATTAAAATCCTTTAATTCTATTTATGCATTTTTTGCTTTTTTAATTATACTTACCATACACTTTAATTCTAAACATAAACTTCATCAGTCATTCCTATTCTTTCTTTTTATAGTCCAAATTTATTGATTTTCACCCATGTGTTTGTATTTTCTCGTATACTTCACATGTTGAAGCAATGTAGTGGCTTCCTCTGTAATCAATAACCTGCCTATAGAACTTGATTTAGTTAGTATTTGTTTTAGTGGAGGCTTGTTGGTGATAAATCCTTTCAATTTTGGTATTTTCATTGATATAGTCAAACATATTTGGCAAAACACATTTGTATCTCTTCTCTATATGTTATGAAATGAAAATAAATACTAAAGAAGAGTGGATATTGTAGACATTTTATCTTTTTCCTGACCTTAATGGAACTTCCTCCTCTTATATATAAAATTTACTGTTCATTCGTGATTTTTATCTTAATAAAGTCTCATTATTTTATTGTTTTCCAAAAAAGTATTTTTAAATAAAAATAATTATCAATTGCATTTATACTATCTAGTATGGTGAATCTACTTTTTTCTTCTTGGAACAATTACTAAGTTGGATGATAGTAAGATTTTCCGAATTTTTAAATAGAATTAAAAAGTTCTTTCTCCTCAATAGTTTGTAACACCAATCTAACTTTATTTGGAAACCAATTCTTTACTAGATTTTTTTCATCTCCTTCCACATACAAGGGGTAATAAGCTATTCATGATTTATCTCTTTTCTTTAGTTAACATTGTTGGGTGGTTATATTTTGTCTTAAAAGGTTGCGTTATCTGGATGTTTTTATTACAAAATTTTAAACTCTGGCTTGGATTAATAAAATATAGCTATTTATTTTTTAATTTAAGGTGGAAAATGGGTTATCCTAAGGAAATAAAAAGATTTCTTTAAACATTCAAACTTGTGATAAATATGTAAACTTAAAGTCGAATTTGAATTATTATTTTAAAGATTGATAAAGAATAAGAAAGTTTCAATTCAGTATCATCAAATATTGATTCAATATTATAACTGGGTAAAATATTGATCCAATATTATAAAATATGATCTTTATTGCATACTTTTATTACATAGAAACTACCATTTTGAACGAAAAAAGTAGAAGATTCAGTTTTTTGTTTTATTTGCCAGCAAGAAACCACTTAAGGCTTGCATTTCTATAATTTTCTCTTTATTTCTACTTAACTTTACAAGTACCTTACAATTAGTTAACTATTTTTCTGTTTCATATATAAGATCTTACATTTTTAGTTACGTCTTATTAAGTCATCTTATCTCACATTTTAGGAAGTTTTGTATATTTTGCCTGACTGAAATTTTGCAGAAAACTACTAGTTTGTAGTGGAACAGGCAAGGGTTTTGAAGTCAGGCATGAGCAGATTCTACTAGTGGCTCTATCACTTGATAGCTATGTGATCTTTGACCAGAGGGGTAATTCCTGTAAAATAATGCTATTTTGGATGGCTTTGAAGGTTCATTGTGACCTCAAATACTTGTTGAGTGCTTACTCTGTGACAGCCACTCTAAATGTTTTGTACATGCTAACATTTATTCTTTATTGCAATTCTATGCAGTAACCTCCCTTGTCATTCTTCTTTCAGAGATGAGGCAGCTCAGACTGAGGTTTTAAGCAACTGCCCAAAATTATACAGATAGCAATTGGCAAATCCAGAATGTTAAACCCGGTCTAGCTCCAAATAAATGTTATATATAAGGGTAGAGAGTAAAGAAGAATACCACTGTTCTTCTCCACATACACAGAAGGAATCTAGGTTAGTTCTTTACACCCATTAGACACATATAATTATTATCCTTTTGCTTAACATAAGTCACCAAAGACTTCAAATATATTGAGTGCCATTTCACAAGTTGATTGTTTTAGTAAGTACACCCTTAAATTGGTTAAAATCCAGAATAAGAGAAATATTTCAAATGAATATGGTATCAAATAATATTTTTTATCTTGTTCCTGAATGTAAATTTGCCTCACCCCTCTAGTCTATTCTGAGTCCTAATTCCTCATAGTTAGAGGAATTGTTACAACATTACGACTTCTTACTAATTTATAATAGGTAGTTTGCTAATAGTATAGTCACCTGACATTCATGTGTCAAAATATCTTTGATGAGGTATGAATTGCTAGATGTGGAATAGCTTATTCAAGAAAGTTTAATTTATGAATGACTGTACGGGGAGTACATGGTGTGAAATTTGAAAGGAAGAAAGATAAATGTTCTGCGTTTTTAAAGTACTTGTTTCCTAAGGACAGAGGTTGGAGGGGATTAGGAATCAGATGCTCCACCTTTTATTTCATTATTCAAACCAACAATGATTCTTTTGGAGGCAAAGGCCTCAGTTGGGTCACTCCCAGCTAACGAGAGAGCAATGATATTAGAGAGAAGGAAGGTTGTGACAAGAGTGAGGGAACTGGAATGAGACAGAGCTGGTGGAAGGTCACAAATTGAAGGGACATATTTTAAAATTATACTCTATGGCCAAAATTATATACTAGTTTTATTCATTGATTAAAGGAGTTGCATTGTTTTGGAGAGGCATCCTTCATAAATGTCAAGTGTCTTCTTAAAAGGGACTTAGAATAAAGCAACTAGCAAAATGCTAACTCTCTTTTCTCGCAAGTAAGATGCTGAAATTTGCAAATAATTTGGGCTTTTAACACAATAAATGCACGGTGGCTCACTCCTGTAAATCCCAACAATTTGGGAGGCCAAGGCAGGCAGATGGCTTGAGCCCAGGAGTTTGAGACTAGCCTGGGCAATATAGTGAAACCCCGACTATACAAAAAATACAAAAATTAGCTGGAAATGATGGCACACGCCTGTAGTCTCAACTACTGGGGAGGCTGAGGTGAGAGGATCACCTGAGCCCAAGGAGGTCAAGGCTGCAGTGGGCTGTGATCGCTCCTCTGCACTCCAGCCTGGGCAAGTGAGTGACTGTCTTAAAAAAGAAAAAAAATTGTTTAAAAGAATTTTGATTTCTGAATGGAGACGGAATTTAACACATTTTTTTCAATGCTTAATTTTATAGTATATATCAATGAAGAGGATTGATTATTCTGGAACTGTTTACAAATTTTGGGGGGGATAAATTTCAGTACTTAAGTCAAGACCTCTCTATACCTAGGCCCTAAAATAAGTAATAACTAAAGAAAAAAAGTCCAAATCATATTTGTATCATGTTAAATTTTGGCAGCAATACTAAGGCAATTTTACCAGTATGGCTGTGGCTAAAAGAGAATATCCCAAAGTTCATAAAGTAAGCACACACCCCATGTACTTAAATCTCTCCCTCTCTCTCTCTCTTTCTCTCTCTCACACACACACACGCAAATGCACTTGCACATATATAAAAGTACAGAAAACTTCTGATATTTTCTTTATCTTGTGAAAATTATGTTTATTCTTGTAAAATTTATGATTTTTCTCTTTCTTTTTGCCAGGTGGTATTTTTGAATATGTGGAATCTGGCCCAATGGGAGCTGAGGAACTTGCATTCAGATTTGCTGTGAACACAATTAACAGAAACAGAACATTGCTACCCAATACTACCCTTACCTATGATACCCAGAAGATAAACCTTTATGATAGTTTTGAAGCATCCAAGAAAGGTAATTGATAGATTTTTAACATCTTTGTTTCCTGGAATTCAAATTTCTAGGTATTCTTAAGAGATTTTTTTATTTTTCAACATACAGTTAATAAGTTGTTAGGAATATTTGCATGCAAAGATTTATTTTCAAAATGCATATAAATTTTATCAGAGAAGATAAAGTATAATTCCTCTTGCAAAAAATCTGCTTATAACATGAAATACAATTACATCTGTTAGTGAAATTTTTTTTCTATTGATCCTTCCATCTTATTATAGAAGCATTCCTATTTTTAAGAACCCACAAATATAAAATTTATATGAGTGGATTTTACCAATTTTGCAATCCATTCTTACATCTTTATTTGCATTATCTTTCAATCCCATTATATTATTACTGTGGTCTCAATTGATTGGCTACCTTGAAAGTTATGTGGTTCTAAGTGACTTCAAAATGTCAGCATATATTGAAACTTAATTGGAAAATTTTAAACAACCATTAGTTTATGTATATTCCATGCTCATATTTTAACCATCTAATATTTCTTTTTGTAACTGAAAATAAATGGCTGATTATGTAAAAACTGAATTATATAAGGACATAATTAGAATACTTTATGAGTTTTATTTTCATGTTATAACTGTTGTAAATGTCAAAAATATAGAAAAAGAATAAAAAGAAAAATAATTTGGTGGAATAAAAATTTAATATTTATATATGAAGGAAGGCAATAGAGAAAACTATTATTAAAGCATTTATTTTAACCAGACAGCTGTCAGTAGTAAATGTGTTTGAGAGGTGCTTCTATAGTCTTATGTGGGTGATCTTTTCTTATATATGTAGATAATCTTATAGTAGGTGATCTTTTCTTTTGCATAGTTAGCATTTATATAATAGGAATTAAATTTTATAATAAAGATTTTTCTCAAAGGAAAAGGCTTATAAAGTGTTTGTTCTAACATTATATTTTAAAACAATGTTTGCCTTTCTGTAATGCTAATATGGTTTTACTGTAGCTACCTTATATTGGTGGAAATGTACATAATTATTTATAATTCCAGGTTAGTGCAAATTGTTTAAGCTCATTAATATTAATGGTAGCTGACAAGGTACAGTATTTCTCGAGATGAAAGTATCCTTCTTTTCCCCCAGCAGCTAAGTAGTGTTTATCAAAGCCATACTTTGCATGCCCTTTGAATTCATATCTTTATGAATACAAATAAGTTTCCACATTTCAGAGCCTGTCAGGTGATGAAAGGTTTTGAAGACTGAGAAAAAGGTTAAAGGTAACTGTGAAATATTACATTTGTCATCATAATTGCAAAATAAATCATTAATTCAAGACTATTACATTTGATTAGTGGCATAGTTCATGATTGTTTCCATTAGGAAGAAGAAGTTCTGCCTCTAATGAAAGCATTTTGATCAAAGAATATGGAGTATGAGTGCAGTATAGATAAAATATTAGTAGATTTCTTAATGGTGATTTCAAATGAACAGCATAAAAAAACACAGGTTCGGATGTTCTCACAACAGAGTACTATCCTGGGAATGCCCTAGCAAAATTATGAATTGATAAAGTCATGTGGTTTGACCAAAATATTATAAGAAATTTACAAGCTTTGTTACCCAATAAAAACTCACTGGGAATCAAATCCATCATTTCACTTTGGCTTGAAGCTAGGAAAAGCTGAAATAAGTGTATGAATAACTGTCTTTGTGAATGTCATGGTTTGGATTTTATCTTCTGAATCTCTTGTTTGTTGAGTTATTACTGCTTGGAGGACACAGCAATACATAAAAACATAATATAACAGAGCCAATATTTTTTTAACTTTATCAAGAAATGTATATATTGATAATATTGTTAATGATTAATTATAAAATAACTTTAGATATTTTAAAAATGTAATTATTTATCCAATGCAAGAAAATAATAATAAATGAGATGTTACCTTTTGACATTTTATCTAATTTTTTTCTGTTATAGTTTTAAAGGGTAGTATTGTTCTGCTCAATTAATAAATACTTTGATGTATTAGAGCTTGAATTATTGTTTGAATCATATATTTTTAAATAACTCTTCTGATAACCGAAAGCTCTAATCTTGCTTGAAACACACTTAGAAACATTCTAAATAACTTAATTCAGTGTTTTTAGCTTTTCTTGGTTTGTGATTTGTCACAAACCTGGTGAAGGAAGATCATTTATCTTCAGTATATATGAATTAAAATCTCATGTTGAGTGAAAAATTCTCAAGTCTAGCCACCATTTATACTAATTTAGAATTCCACATGTTATTTAAAAAGTAAGAATCCATGTATTTAAAAACAATTTATTTAGATCATATTGATTTTTAAAGAATGTTTAAACAAGTGTTCTGACAATAATTTACTTAATTATTAAATATTTCCATGCTTAATTCACGTATAATATTATATTTTATGGAGAAAACTGAGGGAAAATAGCAGAAATTTTCACACGGTAGAATAATAAACTATCCATTTTGGAGGAATTGAGTCTGAACACCTAATTTATGCCTAAAGCTCAGTAACAATCCTTCTCTGTCCTTTAAATATTTGCAGTGATGGGCAAACCATTGCCTCTTGGGGAAGACTATTTCATTTTTCAACATGGTTTACTTTTTTTTTGACACACAGTTTTGGTCTGGCACCCAGGTAGGCCAGGAGTGGCACCATCATGGCTCACTGCAACCTCAATGTCCCAGGCTCAAGTGATCCTCCCACCTCAGCCTGCCAAGTAGCTAGGACTATAGGCACACAGCACCATGCCCAGCTGAATTTTTTTTTGTTTCTTTTTGTTTGTTTGTTTTTGTTTTTCTTTTTGTTTTAGTAGAGAGGAGGTCTCACTGTGTTGCCCAGGCAGGTCTCGAATTCCTCGTCTCAAGCGATCTTCCTGCATTGGCCTCCCGAAGTGCTGGGATTACAGGTGTGAACCATGGCATGAGGCCATTATTTAGAATTAAAAATAATAGCCGGGTGTGGTGGCTCATGCCTGTAATCCCAGCACTTTGGGAGGCCGAGGCGGGTGGATCACGAGGTCAGGAGATCAAGATCATCCTGGCTAACATGGTGAAACCCTGTCTCTACTAAAAATACAAAAAATTACCCAGGCTTGGTGGCATGTGCCTGTAGTCCCAGCTACTCGGGAGGCTGAGGCAGGAGAATCGCTTGAACCCGGGAGGCAAAGGTCGCAGTGAGCTGAGATCACACCACTGCACTCAAGCCTGGGCGACAGACTGAGACTCTATATCAACAAAATAAATAATAAATAAATAAATAAATAAATAAATAAATAAATATGAAGTGGGTAAAAATTCAGGGGAAGCTTCTATTTTTTTTCTAATTCCCCTTTGCCCATCAAGTGAAACAAACTTAAGCTTCTTTCACATGCCAGGTCTTCATATATTTAAAGATAAGTTTTGTGTTCCCAATAATTACTCACTTTCTAGGCCCAAGCTCGCTATTTGTGTCAGTGTGCCTTATAGAAAGTTCAGGTCATGGCACAGTCTATTTTAATCTGAATACCCTCTAGTTTGTTCATGCCTTTCTTAATTACTGTGGTTATTATTGATATGAATAAAATTTTCTGTGAGTAAATACAAACTTTAAAAAATAGAATAATAGAAAACACTTATAGCATCCAAAAGCCAAATATATAAAGATGACTGAGTACTTGTCTAATGACTTTTCTGTTTTTCTACTCAGTGTGACTGATCCATATGAAATCACTCTCTAAGAGCTATAGCAGGTTTTGTGTGGCTGAGTGTTCGCATAACCCGACATGTATCATCAGATAGGTGGAAATGTTCATCTGTGTGTGAGCATAGCTAATTGCACGAGTAAAGGGGGAACCATGTGGCTTTTGATTAAGAAATGGAAAATGTAAAAACTGTTCAGTGAATTTGAGAAGCTGCACTATTCCCTCATTCCCCTCATATAAACTAGTCTTCCAAAACAAGCACTGCCCCCTTAAATTAAAAAATATTCATCCTCTCTCTCCTTGCCTGTCTCCCTCCCCTGACATTATTTATAGAATTATTTGAACATTGAGCTGCAGGGTGAGTTAATTCCCTTGTAACAAACGGAAAGTGTTCAGAGTCAGACAAAATTTTAAATTAGTGAAAAGTAGATATATATTTTTTAAAAACACAAATCTTTCTTGAGAATGATACCTTTGGGTTTAAAATAATAATGTGGTATCTGTTGGCACACTGGCACCTCTCCTCTCATTATTGACAGACCTTTATCTCCTCTTCAGCCTGTGATCAGCTGTCTCTTGGGGTGGCTGCCATCTTCGGGCCTTCACACAGCTCATCAGCAAACGCAGTGCAGTCCATCTGCAATGCTCTGGGAGTTCCCCACATACAGACCCGCTGGAAGCACCAGGTGTCAGACAACAAAGATTCCTTCTATGTCAGTCTCTACCCAGACTTCTCTTCACTCAGCCGTGCCATTTTAGACCTGGTGCAGTTTTTCAAGTGGAAAACCGTCACGGTTGTGTATGATGACAGCACTGGTAAGAAAAATCAGTATCTTTTGGAGCTATGCTTTAAATATAGATAATTTTCTGAAGCCCATTCCAGGTTCTTATTGTATTCTTATGTGCTTTATTTTGAGTTTTGAAAATTCAGCTAAGGGGTAGAAAGACAGAATCAAACACCAATCCTAATTTCACATATCCAAACAAAGAATACCTATGTTGAATACTTCTTCTCTGTATTTGTAAAATAAGCATTTTTTTATTCCTGTGAAAGATCAGCTAGTTTGGTAGGTTGGATGAAAGATAGATGTAGTAAACAATATTATAGATAGATAGATAGATACACACACACGTACACATACACATACACACACACATATGTATATATATATTTAGAATTCCAGTCATTTAAAAAGTAAGAATCCATGTATTCAAAAACAATTTATTCAAAAACAATATGGTCTAACAATTTAGATCATATTGAATAATGTGTGTGTGTGTGCGTGTGTGTGTCTCTGTGTGTGTGTGTGTGTGTGTGTGTGTGTGTGTACATAGACAGATAGATAGAGTCACTCTGTCGCCCAGGCTGGCATACAAGGGTGCAATCTCAGCTTACTGCAACCTCTGCCTCCCAGGTTCAAGCGATTCTCCTGCCTCAGCTTCCCAAGTAGCTGGGATTACAGGCATACGCCACCACTTCTGGCTAATTTTTGTATTTTTAGTGGAGTCAGGGTTTCATCATGTTGGCCAGGCTGGTCTCGAACTCCTGACCTTAAAAGATTCACCTGCCTTGGCTTCCCAAACTGCTGGGATTACAGGTGTGAGCCACTGGACCCATTCTGAAATATTTATTTAAAGAATTTTTCTGCTATGAAGTTTTTGCTAGGGTAGTTTCTCAAGGCAAAGCCTTGTGATGAGTCAGTGAAACTTGCCAAGAAATTCAGAATTATGCCTTACTATTTTATCTGGCTGTTTATGTGCAAAGAATGCATATAAAACGTAACAAACTTTATAAGGCATGTTAAGGTTAGAAAAGTTTTTACTCATATGTGGAACAATATAATATTCACTGAAACACTCAAGTTTGTGGAACTGCTTTTGTGTAGATGTCATTTAGAGACTTAGAAAATAGAATTTACTAAATGATATTTATTTCAGTGAGTTAAAGGAATATTTTAATAAATATTTGCTAACTACAGGTTGTCTGCTTTCTTATGTTAATGCATTTTATTATTTTTGCATACAAATGGTTATCTTGAATTATCAGTTAAAAACAAGTCTCAGAGAAATACAATAAAGTAACAAAAATGAAATTTTAATTTTCATTGAAAGTTACATTGGTGATGCAGCTGCATACTATTTTGCTTACTATAGAGTGATAATTAATTTTACTTTAAGATGTTTATCAACAATATAAACAGTGCTCTTTAAATTAGAACATAAAAACATTTTATTTTAGGACACTTCGCTATACTTTCATAATTACATTGAGATTGAATTTCATTTGAATTTAAATTCTCTCAAAGTATGCCAGGAGCACATTTTGTTCATGCATGCAGTATATAGAACTCTGTGCAGAAATTTGCCCATTTGCCAATAAAATTGGTCATCTGCAAATTGACAGATAAGAACTCTTTCAAGGGAATAGGAAACTGGGAGCTACAGGATTAAAAAAAGGGAAAATAATTTCAAAAACATTTTCAATTAGATAAGAAAGAGTGAAATGCATCTAGATACAAATTAGAGTAATTTTGTTTTCTTATTTAAAATGTGAAATATTTATAAATAATTAAAAATTAGGAATACATTATTAAGAGTCCTTAAAAATAAGTATGTTTGATCTCTGTTAGCTCAAATTAAACCTATTAAATTTATTATATTGCTTTCTTCCTAAATCATTACTTCTTTGTCATTGGTAAAGTTCTGTGTTCCAATTTTGAATGTCAGGTTCTATATGAATGATTTCTGTGAGTATGTGTAATCAAATGATCCAAGGGATCCTCAGTTGCAAATTGGTCCACTTATGTTTATGGATGGTCATCTACAAAACTATATAAATATAGATACATGTGCATTGTTAATCTGTGGATTGTTTACTTCTCCATTCCTTCCTGATGTAATTCATGTATAGGTTGTCCAAACATCATATATCCTTATAATGTATACATTATATACATATGTGCATGCACACAGGTATGTACATCATACATGTGATATTTTGTATTAATTATCATCCTTAAACTCCTCATAGGAAGAAGAAAATTGACAAGTATTCAAAATGTCTACAGACATATTAACTTTATTCACAATCCTACGTGTATGCACATGTGTGGCATTTTTATTTAATATATGTGGGTCTTAAGTGATTCACTAAATAGATAATGGGATTTGCAATCAGGTCCTACAATAATTTGGTAAAATACAGCCTCATGTATTTGTTCTATTCCTGCTTTAAATTATATTCTCAATTATATCATTGAGGCAAATATAAATAGGGACATATGTATAGCTAGTTGATTATATACATTTAATGGAGTCCTGACCTCAAATTTATTAAAATGCTTACTATTTAGTTACTCGTTACTATTTAAAGGAAACTTTGCCACTCCCTTGGCTTTGAAGGTGACATAGACAGTTGGATATTTGAAAAGTCTGATTAGTTAAGTGGTAATGCTAACTTAGAATTGTTACAGAATTATTCATAGAATAAATATGTCTTGAAATCCTCTGAAGAATAAAACATATTGCTGTTCCATTTTATGCAACATTTAATTCAATGAATTTTGATTATCAACTGATACATGCCAGGGAGAGTTAAATGCCACGAAAGGAATTATATGCCACTAAAGGAAACAAAGGCCCAGCCCTTGTTGAGCTTCTAATCCCTATTGAGGGACATGTAATAACTCATATTTTTAATACTATTTGCAATGGGATAATTGCACTTGTAACAGACCAATTGTTGCCTCTTACTTTACAGCATTTTTGAGAACTTTGATTATTTAATATGATAGAACTGACTCGAAGGCAGAAAAGTCCCTTTGAAATGTATTTATAAATATATAGTAGACTTTTTGTCTTTTTGTTTATGTGTCAAAGTCTCAAGGTAGAATTTTTTTCAACTTTCATTTTAAAATCAGGGAGTGCATGTGCAGGTTTGTTACAAGGCTATATTGCATGATGCTGAGCATTGGGTACAACTGAACCAATCACCCAATGAACAGGGTATCCAATAGATAGTTTTTCAACCCTTAACCTCTTCTCTCCCTCCCCACGCTTGTAGTCTCCAGTGTCTATTTTTTCCTAGATTTATGTACGTATGTACCAAATGTTTAGCTCCTACTTATAAATAAGAACATGAAGTATTTGGTTTTCTGTTCCTCTGTAATTCACTTAGGATAATGGCTTTCAGCTACATCCATGTTGCTGCAAAGAACATAATTTTGTTCTTTTATATGGCTGCATAGTATTCCATGGTGTATATGTACCACATTTTCTTTATTCAATCCACAATTGATGGGCATCTTGGTTGATTCCATGTCTTTGCTGTTGTGAATAGTGCTGCAATGAACATATGCATGCATGTGTCTATTTGATAGAATCATGTATTTTCCTTTGTGTATATACCCAGTAATGGTATTGCTGAGTCAAATGTCGTTCTATGTTTAGCTCTTTGAAAAATCTCCAAACTTCTTTCTACAATGGCTGAACTAATTTACATTCCCACCAAACTGTACAAGCATTCCTTTTTCTCTGCAACCTCACCAACATTTATTGTTTTGACTTCTTAATAATAGCCATTCAGACTAGTGTGAAATGGTATCTCATTGAGGTTTTGTTTTGCATTTCTCTGATGATTAGTGATGCTGAACGTTTCTTTCATATGTTTGTTGGCTGCATGTACATCTTCTTTTGAGGAGTATCTGTTCCTGTCCTTTGCTTACTTTTTTAATGGGGTTATTTGTTTTTTGCTTGTTGATTTATTTCAGTTTCTTATAGGTTCTGGGTATTAGACCTTTGCTTGATGCATAGTTTGTGAATATTTGCAAGGTATAGTTTTAATGATAGAATTCAGCAAAGAGAATTTGTCAGCTTCTCAAAAGAGCAAGATGACTATTTGATGATGTGATAGGAAATTTACTGTGAACTGAAATGGGAAAAACTCCACCTCATACACAATAAAATAAACATTACTGTCTTTATGATGGACTTATGTATCTGCTTTTACTGCAAAACACACATGTGCTTTTTTTTTTACATATTTCCTTTTTCCTTTCCATATTTATTTATTATGTATGCTGTTGCTCCCATTTGTATTCATTTCTTTTTTGTTGTGTTGTCCAGTTTGATACATGATAATTATACTTTCATCCAGTCTTTGTTCCCACCCCCAAAACAGATGGGATGATAAATGAAATATAGTGCTGGAATAGGATAAATTCTTAAAATGATGTTAACAGGAGCTATTTATTTTTTACGATAATTAGCATTTGTTGTTGTCATGGATGAATGCTTTTAAACACGCTGAAAGTCTGTTATAGCTCTGAATGATGTCCAAAAATGATGGAAAAGAATTGGCTTCAGAAACAAAGCTGTGTTTCTGTCAGTCATTTTGGAACATATGATTCATTTTAAATATAAACTAAAAATAAGTTGGCTAGATGACAGCTTGTAAGCAATTCCAGAATAAGTTGTTCATATTTGCTTTAAAATCCCTGTGTTTCATCTTTGTTTATAGATCAGCAGTCCATTAACAAAAAAACTCTGGACTGGTAAACAGAAGCATGGGATTCTATTCCCAGTTTTGCTACTAAATTACTGGTACAACTTCAGAAAATACAAGAAGGGAATGGAAATGCCTGCAGAAATGAGCTATAATGCACTATGAATTGACATTGTGTTAGTTGCTGTCACGTAAACTATTTCACTTAATCTTCAAAACAATTCTGTGTGTCCCAAAGGAAACAGGTGATCATGACATCATACCTGTTATCTCCAGTGACTGGCTCTCCTGCTCACCAGAGCCTAAACTAGAAACATGAACATCTTCCTTGATTCTTTTCTTTTTTTGGCTCGACAACAATCGGTTGTCAATTCTATACTTGTATGATCTCTCAAATCTTTTATTTTTTTCCTACCCCCTACCACTTCTTAGGTCAAAATCACCTCCCTCTGTCAGCTGGATGATTAACAGCCTTCTAACTGGTCTCCCTTTTTCTAGTCTCTCCATTGCAGTTAGTGTAATTTTTTTAAAAATGCAATTCTGATCTGTTTCCCTCTTAATAGCTTCTCATTCCTCTAAGGCATTTTTAAGAAGACTTACAATGCTTAGTGTGATGTAGCCCCTATACTTGTCCAGTGATATTTGAGTCCAAATCCCCCACTAATTTATTTCAAATTGAGCCAGTAGACACCTTTTAGTTGTTGAAAATAATCTTCTGTTTACCTGGGAAGCTCTCTTTCTGATCCTATTCCTCCTAGCCATGAAGTGCACACGTACATGTGCACATTTGCACAAACACACTCAGGCATACCATCCGGCTTGGGTGTCACAAAGAAAGGCTGCCCTGACCCCTGCTTTCAAGTCTGGAATAGGTCTCTCCAAACACATCCCAAAGGACCATGGAAACACCCATGACCATCCCCACCCCCATGAGAACTCTTATCACACTCTGAATGGCTTTTCTTGGGTGGATCTTCTACTGGATCAACCACACATCTGAGCAGGGTGAACCCTAAGGCTGCTCACTGTTTTATCACCAGCATCTAGAATGTTGCCTGGTTGTGGAAGTACCTTAATACTTCTTAATAATAGGAAGATGTGTTATATCCATTTTTAAGCAAGATAATTCCAATGAGTTAAGTATTCTGCCAAAGTCAAATTTGGTTAAGTAGCCTTTAACTACTTGCCAAGGAATAAATAGATTCAGCCATAATTTTCAGATATATGGACATGACTCTTTTATGATTTCAAAAATTTTATAAGAAAGCTCGAGTGAATTGTGTTTCTTTGATTTCAACTGCAGTTAAACATATATATGTGAGTATATACATATATATGTATTCTTATTTGAGCAATTATTAAATTTCTGTATACCAGCTGCTATCTTAGGCAGAGGGGACAAGAATTATAGATAAAACTTTGACCTTCTCCATGGGCTCAGAGTAGAGTAAGTTAGGAGAGAATAACACTACACTCTAGTGTAACAAGTGCACAGAGAGGCAAGAAAACAGCATCATGACATCTCAGGAGAAGAAGGGCTCAGGAGAAGAAGCTGCCTGGAAAGGATGGAGAAGAGTTTTAGAGAAAGTGACGTTATAAAATTATCATGAAGGATAAGTAAAATGCTGCAACTGGAGAAGAGTCTACAGTGTGCAACATGTGTAAATGTGAAGATGACTGAGGGAGCCAGTTTGTCAGGAAATTGCAAGCACTTCATTATGACTGAGTAACAGAAACAAGGAAGATGAGGAATGATCAATGGATTTTATAAAAAGCTAGCGTAGGAGAGATCACAGAGAGCTTTGTACTACCAAGTCCACCTTTTCTTGCCCACCCTGCCCTGGAATCTACATGGTTATAGCAATATCAGTGATGTTTGTGTGATGTGAGCCTGCTTTCAAACCACCATGGAATGCCTCAAAAATTGGCATATATCCATTCACCTTTTTCCTGGAAACTCAGAAAAAGACATAGAGGGCCATCTGTCAGCCTAGACTATTGTGGTTACTACGGTCTTTGGTATCAGGACATTCTAGACTGAAATCCTGACCCTGTCGTGTAGTTTTTAGCAAGGGATTTGACCACTAACAGTCTGAGAGTTGATGCATGTATAAGGTGAGGATAATATGTGTCATACTTCACAGGATTGTTGTTGTGTAAAGTGCCTCATAGAGGAAACATAACAAGAATTTAAAACTTTCAACAATATAAATGCTATGGGCCATGTGCCATTTTTCTTCACTAAACTCTATGATAAAGAAATTATTAATCTCACAATTTTTGAAATTGATGCTTGTTTATTATAGGAAATTCAGGAACTACAATAAAGTTTAATAAAAATAAGATAAAATAATCAAGATTTTTTGCTATCAAGTTAATCATTTTAGATTTCTTTCCAGTCTGTTTCTCTACAAATACACATACACATACACACAAAGAGCATATCATTTAGAGTTCTGGGAAAGAAACAGAAGAAACACGTAGCTTGTAATCCCACTATTTTAATATGAGAAAACTTAGATGCAGTGAGTTGAAGTAATTTGCCCAAGGTTACATACATAGCACATAAGTGATAGATCTGGGTTTTGAAACTAGGCAGTCAACTTTAGAATCTACTCTGTTAAATACTGTTACATGATGTTAGTTGTTGTTTTATTTTGTGGGGGTTTTTTTTGGCTCTTTTTAAAAATCATTATTTTAAGCAAGATAATGGCAAGATTAGAACTATTTTTGGTAATGGCTTTCTGACTGCAGTGTGGAGAATGTGTTGGGGATATGAGATATGGAGAGCAATAGGGCAACACTGGAAGCAGGGGAATTCCTGAATTAGCCAAGTTGAAAAGAGATGACAGTTTCAATTAAGAAGATTTTGATGGAATAATGTTGACATGAAGAATTCTAAGAGGACTTAGGAGATACAGATTGTAGAATTTAGTAAGTGGTTGCCGGGAAGGAGTGATGAAGACAGGAAATAAGAATTACTCTATGTTCCTAGTTGGGGATACTAATCAGTGGCACATTTACCTAGAAGGGGAAAACAAGAAAAACAGCTTCAAGAGAGAAGACGGTGTCTGCTTCTTAACATATGAAGTTTGAAACATCTATGAAATATTCACTTGCTATCATTCAGTGGTATTGTATATATCATAAATTCATCTTAAAAATAGGAACTTGGTCTGGGCAGGCATATAATGCTTCCATTGGCATTTTGCTGTGCCCTTCATTTGAACTTCTTTGTAGTATTAGGAAATGAAGAAAATCAACAAAAAACAATGAAATAAAAATAGGGTGATAGTACAAAAGAAATGAGTTAGTAGGTGGGCAGCCATGGAGATAAATATAGACATGAGAAGAGCTTACAGACAGAATGTACATTCTTTTCATTAGTGAAGGAAAAGCAGTAATATTTTTAGAAATAGTAATATTTACCAAATTGAGCCTAGACTAATTTCTATGATACGATCACAGGAAAAAAAAAAGCCAAAGCTTTTATCTTAAGCAAAAACACAAACACTTTCTTAAAACACTAACTTTATTCATTTGGATGAAGTATACTTATAGATTGCTTTAGATACATTTTTGTGTGCTTTTGGAGTTAGCATAATATAATGGAAAGTCAATTAATAGTGAAAACTCATTTTATTTTATCTTGCACGTATATTTAAATAGGATAAAATAAAATTAAAGTTAATATAAAAATGTATATTCCTGGAAGACACTAATTTTTGAATAAGATAATTTTTATATTATGAAGCATACAATCAAATAATTTCCATTTTATTTTAGGGAGTGGGGTAATTTGGATCTCAGATGATTATATGTTGTACATTTTAAATACAAGCTTCAAGTGCTGTGTTCTCTAATTCCAAGTGCAAATACAATTAGCAATTATGAGTTAAACTTAATTATTTGGATATACTTGATTACATAGCTTGGTGTAGTAGTATTTCCACACAGTTGGTTATGCTTGAACTTATTTTTTTATTCCTATTTAAGCAATCATAAAAATTTTTTTAGAAAAAAGTTAACTCAAGATGGATTAAAGACTTAAACGTAAGACCAAAAACCCTAAAAACCCTAGAAGAAAACCTAGGCAATACCTTTCAGGACATAGGCATGGGCAAAGATTTCATGACTAAAACACCAAAAGCAATGGCAACAGAAGCCAAGATTGACTAATGGGATCTAATTAAACTAAACAGCTTCTGCACAGCAAAAGAAACTATCATCAGAGTGAACAGGCAACCTAGAGAATGGGAGAAAATTTTTGCAATCTATCCATCTGAAAAAGGGCTAATATCCAGAATCTACAAGGAGCTTAACCAAATTTACAAGAAGAAAAAACCCTATCAAAAAGTGGGTGAAGGATATGAACAGACATTTCTCAAAAGAAGACATTTTTGTGGCCAACAAACATATGAAAAAAAGCTCATCATCACTGGTCATTAGAGAAATGCAAATCAAAACCACAATGAGATACCATCTCACACCAATTAGAATAGCAATCATTAAAAAGTCAGGAAACAACAGATGCTGGAGAGGATGTGGAGAAATAGCAATGCTTTTACACTGTTGGTAGGAGTGTAAATTAGTTCAACCATTGTGGAAGACAGTGTGGTGATTCCTCAAGGATCTAGAACCAGAAATACCATTTGACCCAGTAATCCCGTTACTGGGTATATACCCAAAGGATTATAAATCATTCTACTATAAAGACACATGCACACGTATGTTTATTGCAGAACTGTTCACAATAGCAAAGACAGAATCAACCCAAATGCCCATCAATAATAGACTGGATAAAGAAAATGTGGCACATATAAACTATGGAATGCTATGCAGCCATAAAAAAAAGGATGAGTTCATGTCCTTTGCAGGGTCATAGATGAAGCTGGAAACCATCATTCTCAGCAAACTAACACAAGAACAGAAAACCAAACACCGCATGTTCTCAGTCATAAGTGGGAGTTGAACGATGAGAACACATGGACACAGAGGGGGCACATCACACACTGGGGCCTGTCAGGGGGTGAGGGAGTAGGAGAGGGATAGCATTGGGAGAAACTCCTAAGGTAGATGACGGCTTGATGGGTGCAGCAAACCACCATGGCACATGTATACCTACGTAACATACCTGCATGTTCTGCACATGTATCCCATAACTTAAAGTATAATAAAAAAAAGAAAAGAAAATTATTTCTTGGGTTCTGATTAAATAATAGTGAATATTTACAAATATGTTTATAGGACTAATTCTCAAGTTTTAAAACCTTTAAAATATATGCCAACACGGAAAGACAAAAATCAAATTTTGAATCTGTAGCAATCACACAATTCATGTTTCTGTAGATAGTGAAATAAATCCACACTAGATCTAAAAATGTAGAAGGAGCAAGTCTTATACTAAACCTCAATAATATTTGCATTTTGGGGGGGCGGGGAAATGTGAAGGAAGAATAATTCTGGTGATAGTCAAACACTGCCATTTTTTAATTTACATTTTTCTAAATTTAAGCATATTGGCATGCACATTTTTGGTAGGTACTGCCCTCCTGCCCCCTACAGCCTTTCCTTGTTCTTGGCTATCTTCCTTTCTATGTGGTGAAGTGGGAAGGATAGTTCTTGTATCATCTCTCTGAAACACTTGAAAATTTTGACCATTCCTTTTTTCAGGGCAAAAATAAAAATTATTTTGCTTTGGCTTCTGCACTGTCATTCTATCTGTGTTACCTCCTTCTTTTTGGCCATTTATTCCCATTGTCATACTCTTAAACTCCTTTTTCTTTTCCTATTTCTTAACTCATGATGTTGTTCAAGATTTTATTCCCAGTCTTGTTTTCTCATTGTTTACCTCGTTCTCCCTAAAACCTTTCATTTGACTCGTGTTTCTGTACCTGTATGCTGTAGACTCACCAATCTACATTTTCAGTTGTTTGTACTGACCTCCATATTCACAGTTCCAGCCATCACTGATCATCTTTATTTGAATGTCTCATAGGTACATCTAACGCAACATAACAAAAGCCAAACTCAGTATCTTTGCCCGAAATTTGCTTTTTACTCCTGAATTTCCCTCTTTATTGGGTTGCCCACATCAGATCCCTAGTGATCATTCTAGATTCTTTCCTCTCTCTCACCCTCTATTTTCAGTTGATCATTTAGACTTCCCATTTTTATCTCACATTTCTCAAATTTACTCCTAGCTTCTATCCCTGTCTTAGTTAATATCATTTAGTGCTGAAACAACGCCCTGCCTGCTACTCTATTTAAATGTGTCTACCTGACGTAGAGAAAAGGGTCTTTTTTTGAAATGATAGTCTCATGAGGTCATTCCCAAGCTTAAAGCTGTTCATAGTCTCCCCAGTTCAGAGAAAAACGAATTGTTCCTCGGCATGACACATACAGTGTCCATCATTGACACTCTCATGCCTCTCTGATTTTAAATTTCTGGTATTCCTTCTCTTAATATTGTGCTGCAGCTTTCCTTGAATAATTATAGCTCTCTCTTACCAAGCATGCTATGCTGTCTCAATCTCTTTGCTGTGCACAAGTTGTCCTCTCTGCCTGATGTGTCTTTCCCATTTGGTGGCCTATTCATCACCTGTAAGATGTACCTTAAAATAGAATATCATTTCTAAATATTTATAAATTATTTCTAAATATTCTAATATTTAGAATATTATTTCTTGATGCAAGAGTTACTTTAGTAGATAAAATAGTTCATCTTCATTTCTGTAGTAAGTCTTATTTTTAGCATCCTCACATAAGTAATTTAGCAGGAGTGATGCTGTCCTGGTCATGGAAGCTCTAAATATCTTACAATTTATTTACCTATTTATTCATTTACTGATTTGTTTGTTTGTTTTATTACTTTATTTACTCCACAAGTAATTATCAAGTATCTAGTATGTGTCAGCACTGTTCTAGGTACCGGAGATATATAAGTAAACAAAATAGATAAAAATTCTTTGCCTTATGGAGCTTACATTCTAATGTAAGGTGATAAACAATAACAAAATAAATATGTGTACACAATAGTATCAAACGTGATAGGTGTTATGAAGAGAAATAAAGCAGGAGAGATGTGTAGGGAGTACATGGGAAGAAATATTGCAGTATTAAGAAGGGTTGCCAGAAAATACCTTATTTAGAAAATGGCATTTGAACTAAGACTTGAATAAACTAAGCAATTATGCCATATCTAAAGAAAAGTGTTTCAGAAAAAGCAAGGAGAAAAAAATATAACCACGGGGAAAATAGATTAAGAATTTTGAGCTAAAGGAGCCACGTTTTAGTTTTGATGATGAGTTTTGGGAAAATCTAAAAACCAAAGAAGACTATTGTGACATCTGTCATTTGTTGTGTGTGTGTATGTAGATCTGTAGATATATGATGACATATGTAGATGTTTCATTACTGTTTTAGTAACAATAATGTCATTTCTTTTAAAATAGCTTTGTGTAAGCCTGGGCAACATAGTGAAACCTAGTCTCTACAGAAAAAAAAAAATTAATTAGCTAGGTGTGGTGGCACTCACCTGTAACCCCAGCTACTCAGGAGGCTGAGGTGAGATGATTGCTTGAGCCCAGGAAGTTGAAGCTACAGTGAACCATGATTGCACCACCCTACTCCAGCCTGAGCAACAAAGTCAGATTCTGTTTCAAACAAATACACAAACAAAAAATAGTTCAGTGTAAGGACTTGTCCACGTAAAAGTTCGTTTTTCTTGTTGTTAAGAGGGAGTCTCGCTCTGTCGCCAGGCTGGAATGCAGTGGCGCAATCTCGGCTCACTGCAACCCCCACCTTCCGGATTCAAGCTATTCTGCCTCAGCCTCCTGAGTAGCTGAGACTACAGGCACGTGCCACCATGCCCGGCTAATTTTAGTATTTTTTAGTAGAGATGGGATTTCACCATGTTGGTCGGGTCGCAAACTCCTGATATCAAGTGATCTGCCCTCCTCGGCCTCCCAAAATGCTGGGATTACAGGCGTGAGCCACCAAGCACAGCCAGATAACTGATTTTATAAGACAGTTATGTTGACCTAGTGTATCACATGTATCAAACCTAGGTTTAAATTTAATCCAGATAGGATCTAGACTTTTTAGAGGTATTTCTGATACAGAATCACTTATTTTTAGTTAAGTATTCAATAAATGACCATGTTAGACTTATTTCTCCTCTTTATAGTTCAGTGTAAGGACTTGTCCACATAAAAATTGAGTGCCACTGCACCCCAGTCTGGGCGAGAGAGCGACACTCCATCTCAATACATGCATACATACATACATACATACATACATACACACAGTTTTCTGTTTTCTGGGACCTAATATTTGCTACTCAACATTCTATAAACTTTACTTTGTTTTAAATATATAGTATATATGGTATATTCAGAGATAACATTATCTAAGCATCTAACTTTTTCAGAATGCAAGAAAATAATTAAAACTCAAATTCTAGACAGGCTAATTGTCCATTCCAGAGTTCTTCCAAGTTAGAAGTGGAACAGTATCCACTAGGATAGTATTTCAGTGACTCAAAAAGGAACCAAACAAATAATTTTTTTGCATGAATGCATTAAATGCGTACTAATAATATCTTGTTACAAACAGAATTCTGACTAACAAACCCTAATGAAAATACAAAGCCTAACATATACCTCTTCTTATCCCCAAAGGGATTATTTTACTATTCATAAATACTTGTATTTTTGTAAGCCCAGTAATCTTTCTTTTGAGAAAACAAAACTTATTGTGTAACATATCTTACAGTTATAACTCAAAGCACTTGTTTTTAAATTTAATTCATAACACAGAATAAAATATCTGGGCTACTGTTAAAACTAAAGATTCCTAGGCAAATCTCTATGATTCAGTAACTCTAGAGTTATATTCAGGGGCTTGCATTTGGAAACATAGCTAATTGTAGTAGGCATTCCTCACATTTACCAATATCTCTGGTTATCTTCACTTCTAAACCTCAAAAAGTTGCAGTTTCCAAATCCTTGCTGTGGCCAAGAGGATTGCTTTAGCTGATGAAATGTGATAAGTGGCATTGTTCACTTCCAGGTGGATGCATTTAATTGCCTTGCTCTTCCTCTCCAACTCATTCATTTCCCAACATAGCAATTGTGCTCAAGTTCAAAGCATCCTAAAATACCGCCAAAATATCAAAGATTGCTAACCTGGAGAATTATCTGGACCTACAGCAGACCTGGCTTTTATGAGATATGAAATCTTGTTCTGTTAAATCACTGTGATTTGGGAAGGGGGATGATTTTTACTATAGTATAACCCAGTCAAGTTGTCGTTGAATTTCCATGTGTATTAAAAACATTAGGAAGGCTTGATAAAACACTGCTTGCTAGACTGACTCCCAGTTTCTGATTTTATAGGTATAGTTGTGGCCTAATAATTTCTTTTTCTAATAAGTTTCTGGGTAATCGTGATGCCATTAGTTTAGTAACTCCACTTGAGAATCACTGATCTAGCCAATCTTGACCAATATACAAATTTTCATATTTTGAAACAAATTGACATTAAGTCAAACTTATCAATATGATAAACAAAGGCATCATTTTGTATGTAAAACAAATTTAAAATGTTTAAACAAGCATAATTTTTTAGTGATTTAACACTGACAAAATTATTAATCACTTCTTAAAAACACTTAATTGTCTGAACTTCAACACTGAGTAGCAATTATTCTGCTAAATATTCTTGTCCTTAAGAGTATTCAAAATGGTTTTGAATTAGCTTTAATATGAAGGAAGAACAGTCCCCTGTAAATACAGTAAAAATTGTGAAGTATAAATTGAGATTTAAAACAATCTGATATTACTAGAATGTTTTATAATATCCATTTCATATAAATTTAAAAATAGTTTTACTTTTTAACTTTTAAAAAATGTACAAAAAGTACTAATTAATTACATGTGCAATGATTCTGACTTGTCATTTAAGTATTTTTTTCAAATTCCCCATTCCACTCTCACAATGAACTTTTTATCCAATTGAAATAATTGAGTTGGCATTAAAGAAAGAAAATTAAGTCAGCTCTTAAAATCTTAACACTAACTTGTTAATTACCCTATTAATAACACAATGAAAAATGACAAGCTGTAATTCCTTTTCCAAAAATATGGCTGAAGGTCAGAGAGCTGTCTTGCTGGCATATTGAGAGACCGAAAATTACAAATGATGAGCTTTTTTTTCTTTTAAATATCATCAGATGCCATTAGAAATTCAGCGAAGAGACTAGATCAATATTTAAAATATAATTTTAAACATAATTTTCCTATTATTAAAGAAAACAACTGCTATATATTAGGAAATAACCTAGCAAAGATACTTGTATTTGTGTGTTAAGAAGACAAATCTAAAGGGTTTCCAAACATTGTCCAGGTCTGAGCTTTTACACTATTGAAAAAGGATTCCGTGTGCTTTTAGCCTACAGCAAAGATCAAAAAGCATTCACAGAGCCTACTGGCAAACCAGAGATAAATAGAATGGTTTTCTCTGCCATTAAACAATAATTCTTGAAAATGACTTTTTTCTTTTATGTGGGGTAGAGTAAATCCAAATTATGCAGGACAAAGTTTACATGCACAGTAAGTGATCTATTGTGGTATTGTTTGCATTTTTCTTGGTACAGTTTAATTTATTGTTGTAACTGCTTCGCTATTTAGGAGAATAGAATTGGTTACCAAAGACATTGTAAAACTGTTCTATAATACTGTAGTACTCATTTAATATACATATATAAATAGTTTTACTTTTTAATTTAACTTTTAAAGAATTTTGCAAAATAAAACAGAATTCTGTTTCAGAGTAGAGACACTTAAACATTTGTAGTTTTCTTAGAACATGTATAACAGTACCATAATCTTGTATTCAGATTTTTAAAATTTGTAATTGTGGTAAAATACACATACAATTTGCCATCTTAACCATTTTTAAATGTACAATTCAGTAGTGTTAAAAATATTCACATTGTAGTGCAACCAATCTCCAGAACTTTTTTATTTTGCAAAACTAAACTTTTGTATGCACTAAACAACCATTCTCCATTTCTCTTTCCATAGTCTCCAGAAACCACCATTCTACTTTCTGTTTCTATGAATTAAATACTCTAGATACTCATAGAAATCGATTATACAGTGTTTGTCTTTTTGTACTGGTTTATTTCACTTAAAATAGTATTTTCAAGGTTCATCGATGTTGCTGTGTTGTAAAGTGTCGAAATTTTCTTTGTTTTTAAGGCTCAATTATATTCCATTGTATGTATGTGTCACATATTATTCATTCATTCATCAAATACTTGGGTTGCTTCCACCTTTTAGCTATTATAAATAATGCTGCTATGGACATGGGTAAACAAATATCTCTTTGAGGCCCTGTTCTCAATTCTTTTCAGTATATACCCAGATGTGGAATTGCTGGATCATATATTACTTCTCTGTTGAACTTTTTGAGGAACCATCATACTGTTTTCCATAATGGATATAACATCATTCCTACCAACAGTGCACAAGAGTTCTAACTTATCCGTATCCTCACTAACATATATATATATTTTAATTGTACTCATGTTGATGGGTGTAAGGTGATATCTAACTGTGGTTTTGATTTGCATTTCCCTCATGATTAATGATGTTAAACACATTTCTATATTCTTATTGATCATTTGAATATTTTATTTGGGGAAATGTTTAAGTTGTATGCTGATTTTTTTATTTTAGCTGTTTGATTCATTGGTTGTTGAGTTTCAGTAATTCTTTCTATATTCTGGATATTAACTGACTATCAGATATATTATTTGCAAATGTTTTCTTCTATTCCATGGGTTGCTTTTTCACGTTGTTGGTTGTGTCCTTTGATGCAAATTTTTAAATTTCATAATCCAGTTTATTTTTACTTTTTTTAAACCTATACTTTTGCTGTCATATTCAATAAATCATTGCCAAATCTAATGTCATGAAGATTTTCCCCTATGTTTTTTTCTAAGGGTTGTATAGTTTTAGATCTTACATTTAGGTTTTTTATGTTTTTTGAATTAATTTTTTTTCTATCTTGAAGAGTAAGAGTCCAACTTTATTCTTTTGTATGTGGATATCCAGTTTCCCTATCTCTGTTTATTGAAAAGACTATTCTTTTGTCATTTATTGACCACATATGTTAGAGTTTATTGTTGAAAATGAAAATTATTTTACCACATATGTGAGAGTTTATTTCTGAGCTCTCTATTTTATTCCATTGGTTTATATGTCTGCCTTTGTGCCAGTATCATACTGTTTTAACTAGCTTTGTAATAAGTTTGAAATCAGGAACTATGAGATCTCCAACTTTGTTCTTTTTTAAGATTGTTTTGGCTAGTCAGGATTTCTTGAGATTCTATATGAAGTTTTAGCTGAGTTTTTCTGTTTCTGCAAAAAATTTTATTGGAATTTTGATAGAGAGTACATTAAATCTATAGATCACTTTGAGTAATGTACTCATATTTTTAAAACCAAGGAAATTTGAGTTATACTAAAATATACTTTATAAATAAAACAACATTTATTTGTCAATTTATTAGTCTATTTAGTAGCCAATCAACTAACATAGATTCTTTCTATAGCAGTACATTTGCTGCTTCAGTTAGGGTCCATCACATTCTTTAATTTGAGCTCACTTCCTTATTTGTCTGAAAATTATTTTTTCTTTATAAACTTTATATACTGATGACATATACAACTATATAAAGTAATATCTTATCAAGCACTTCCTTGGCCAAAGAAGAACCAAATGTGAATAAGATGTTTTGATTCTCCAAATACTTAAACACTAGTGTTACAAATAAATTACAGTACAGTATGATAAATGCTAAAAGAGAGTTATATAAAAGTGTTATGGCAAACTGGAAGTTGAAATCAAGGAGATCCAGTTGGTTGGAGAACTAAACAGAGATGACATTTAAACTGGGTCTCAAGTAATGTTAAGAGTAGGTAAGATAGGAAATGCAAGTGTACAGAGCTGTGAAATGGTATGGTGAACTGGTAGCATGATGAAACATCTACTGAGGTTGATACACCAGACATCATCTAGAGATGCCCAAGAATAAAGACAAATGGATCAAAAGAGATCATGAAGGGACTGGCAAGACTGAAAATCAGAGCATATAACCATATAAGACTAAAGTAGGTTAGTCACCAGCAGCCCTGTAGAAGAGGCTGTGGCTGGAATTTGAAATTATTAAATATCACTGGACAGGTTGGAGGCATAAATAGGTTCCAAAGAACAGTCTTGATTTAGGCCTCATAATGCTGCTTACCAAGAATCAATTAACTTTTTAGGAAAAAGTGATATAATGAATTTTTGAGTATGGAATTTTTAATTCATATAATGTATTTAGAACATTAAAAGGTTATTAAGTTTTGTAGTTATTGGTGCTATTTACCAAATATATCTAGCTCTGGTCTCAGGCATAGAACAGAATTGCATTTTCTCACCCTCTTTGAGGTTAGGCAAAGCCATGTGATTTTCTTTTGCCAGTGAAATGTGAGCAAAGTACTGAAATATTTCTTGGTGACTGTTTCAAAAGTCAGTTATCAGTTTGTCACATTTTCTTCTCCATGCTATAGTAATGATGAGAACATGATTCTTGATGGAGGTACTGGAGTAACTGTAAGGTGCAAAGCCACCCTACCAATCCATGCTAGACAAACAATAGGAACGGCAATAAACTTGCCTGTTGTTTAGCCCCTGAGACATGTAAACATAACTTACCCTATCCTGACTGTACAACAAGTAAGACATAATAATGGCTGTAGAAAGCCTTGATAACAGAATAAGAAGAAAAAAAAAAAAACTAAAATCAACCATAATCTTACCCAAATGAGTCATTGTAACTATTTTTATATTTACCTCTTAAACTATAGTGTTACAAAGAAGCTTAATTCATCATGTCAATTATTTACTTAATTGTGACAGATGTTTACTCTGCTAAAGGTATATGCTGTTGCTCTCTCTCTCAGGAGATTAGCTTCCCTGTCAGTAGCTATTGTGTTATAACTAGCCATCATCAATTTTTCTCTTAAGTGGGAAACTACAATACATAACAAGGTTGTTTTGAATCTCATATGAGACAAGGTATATAAAATAAGTGGCACATAGTACGTTAAACAATAAAGATGGGAGAGGCCGTTTGTCTTTCTAAAGGTTTGCTTATCAAAATTTTAAAATACTTGATACCTTCAAAATATAAACCATTTTTGTTCAACAAAACTAAAGCATAATGTAATAATTCTCCATCTCCCTTAAGCAAGTGTATGCCATTTGTCATTTTCTTTAAAAATAAATGAACTTGTTCAATTAGTTGAAAATTTTCTTTTATAGATCTGATTTTACAAGTTGATGGGTTTTTATTGCAGCATTATGTAAAAAAGCTTGAACTTTATTGCTCTTGATTAGTCCTTATCCTTCTAAGAATTTTAATGGTAATAGAATATTTTAAGATGCATCAGTGCACATTTATGTTGAATGTTAGTATCCTTTCTGCTCTTTACTGACTAACACTACAGTTAATAATAAAAATTTATCTTTATTTTTGAAGGCTTATTATGCATATATGATATTTATACATTTTTGGTGATAAATTCTATCGCCACCTAGTGCTTTGGACAACATTTTATATTTCTGCCATTTCTTTTTGCATTACATTAAGATGTGTAAACTGTGACTGCCCATTCTTCTCATAAGACTTTTCTCTCCCCAGTAAGCTTACTTTTCTCTCCCCAGTAAGCTGTTCCACAAGGGCAGAGAATGCGTTTTCTTTAGAACTGTGTCCTCACCTCCTGGATCAGGGCATGGCTTGTAGTAGATGCTTAATGCACATTTGGGGAGTGAACTAATAGATAAATACTATACAGTTCAGAGTCCAATAACTATATTCTGACACAACTACATCCCCTACTTGGATTTTAAAAGAGAAAGTTTTTGTATCTTCTTGATGATCTAATTATAATGCTGTGCATCTAGTTTAGCCAGGACAAGATTTACATATGTTGCTGAATTTAGTAAATTCTTACTTCCTGGACTTCAGATAAGGTAAAAAGTAAGCATAATTACAAAGGGCAGGAAAAACCCTTAGTTATGAAAATATGTATTATCTTGACTATGGTAATTATATCATAATGTCAAAGTTAATCAAATTTTACACTTTAAGTACATATATTTTAGTTTACTTTAATTAGAATAAAATTGAAAACAAAAGCCAAAAAAGTAAGAATAACATATTAAATTGCTTTATATTACAACAGCAATATTTCTGTAAATATTCTTCCTCTACATTTCAAAATTTGCAAAAGATATCACCACAGGCAATTGGGCATTACTTTTGAGATTCTTTGTCAGTGGAATACATTAAATCTCCCGCCTGATAGAGAAATTAAAACTGCCACATTTCTGTCTCTGCTAGCATCATCTTGAAATGTTCATCCCTCAAACAGGAATAGATGGAAAGGAGAGGAAAGGAGAGATGAACAGAGTTTGGAGAGGAAATTACCTCATTACTATGAGCACAGAGAAGAGAGACAAGAAAGAGATATAAAACATGAGAGGTAAACATAATAATCATCATGACAACAACAGCTATTGAAAGCTCGCTGCATGCCAGTAACAGTCTAAACACTTAGCATGCATTTCTCGTTTTTCTGTTTTCATGGCAACTCTGTTTAGTCTCCCTATATAAAAAAATGTAAAATCTGAGTCTTAAAGATGTTATGAAACTTTTCTGAGGGAAAGTACAAGTGTCAGAATAAGGATTTAAACCCAAAATGTTGAATCTAATAGTCAGGTTCTTCACTGAACGCTATACCTGTTCATAACAGACACAAAATGTAAAAAACAAAGAGGTAAAACAGAAAGAAACAAGCTTCTATGTGTATTGGTAGATGAGGAGAGACTTTGCAGCTGATGCTAAACAAGAGGCTAGGGTCCACAGCTATCTACACATCTCCTCAAGACAGAGCTCCACTGTAGACAGTTAACTCCAGGTAGACAGAAGTTAAGACATGTGGAAAACATTAAATAGAAGCAATTGTTTGCTATAATCTTTGCCACTTTTGCACTGTATGCATTTTTGAAGATCCAAGGCCTTCTCCCAGGCTATAGAAGTGCACTTTAAGCCAATATTTTGTTTTATGAGATATAAGAAATCACAGCCATATAAATAAGGCACAAGCAGAGATGAGTAAATGGTATATAGTGTCTCCAGTTTTAGAAAGGATGCAGATTATATCTGAACCAGCATAATGTCACTACAAGAAGGATGCATAATGTCATAAAAATGTACTTCATACGACTCAGTTATTTGTATTTTTTATTTATTTGTTTTTAACTAAAGATGAATAGCCTCTGCCATATTTTAAAAGGGCAGGCAATATAAAGTTCAATATTAGAAAATGTACCTAAATGACTGGAAAACACATCTTATGAACTAGTATATTAATCATTCAGTGTAGGAAGCAGAAGGCAACATTACATATCACTGTGATGTGCTAAGTGCTAGTCTCAAATATTCATGGCTTAGGCAAGAGTTTATCAACCTTGGTGCTGTTTAGTTGAAGTCATGGGGGGCTATTTTTTGTAAAATGTTTACCAGCATCCCTAACCTTTACCCAGTAGATGTTAGTAGTAGTTCTCATCCCCAGTTGTGACAATTAAAAATATCTCCAGACTTTTTGCCAAATGTCCCCTAGAGGCAACATCACCCCTGATGGATCACTGGCTTCATTTGAGTATATTTCTAATCATTATTTTTCATTAAATAATTATGTTTCAGACTTGCAGTAAAGATATGCTGTAACTTTAGATATGATTTAGAAGTCTATATCTTAGAAACTACTATAAATAGACTCAGTACAATTGGAAGTGGAATTGGACTACCGATGATTATATTCATTCACATAACCATTTGTTAAATACACACTAAATGCCTGTCACTGTTCCAGGTTCTAGGAATACAAAAATAAAGGACACATTTGAGATCTGCATTACACCAAAAGTGATATAAACTGTTTATTGATCCAGATTCTCCAAGATCTACTTTTGTATTCTATTAATTTAATCATCAGAAACCATGAATTGTTAGGCCATATTACCTTACATCTATGTAGAAATATTTTTCCTAAGTTATCATGGTTTCTCTGGGAAATGAATATAAAAATTTCCTTTGAAATATTTTTTAGTTTTTTTTAAAGTGATGAGCCAACATACCATGCACCATGCTATTCACTGTCTTCAATCCAAATAACAATTTACATGATAAACTAAAGATTGAATTCAAAGCATAAAGATTGTTTATCAACCCTTGATTTCATTTATTTATCATTTGAGATAACAATTCTACTTTTTAAATTATTTATATCGTTAGAGAATTAGAGAAGAAACTATATGTATTAGTCTGTTCTCATACTGCTAATAAAAAGATACCTGAGATTGGGTAATTTATAAAGGAAAGAGGTTTAATGGACTCACAGTTCCACTTGGCTGGGGAGGCCTCACAAACATGGTGGAAGATAAAGGAAAGACATGTCTTACATGGTGGCAGGCAAGAAAGCTTGTGCAAGGGAATTCCTATTTATAAAACCATCTGTTCTTGTGAGACTTATTCACTACCACAAGAACAGTATGGGGGAAACTGCCCCATGACTCAATTATCTTCACTTGGCCACACCCTTGACACGTGGAGATTATTACAATTCAAGGTGAGAATATGGGTGGGGACACAGCCAAACCATATCACTAAATGTTCTGAGTACTTACCAGAATCATTCTCTCCGGAAGCTTCCTTCTAACTGTGCTCTCTCCTCTCTTCCTTTCAAGAAGGTAGTTTAGGTCCTGGGATAAAAACAAAAGACAAACAAGTGACATAATACTAGCTCCAGAAACTGTGATAGCATATTTTATTTCCATCACCTCAATCCCCTCAGGAAGTACAGAAAACTCACAGAGAGCATTGAAGAAGTAAAGAAGTTATGCAACGTGCCCAAGGTCACACAGTGCTTGGTACCCATGTTTGACTCAATCTTAAGTCCATGCTTTTGTCATGCCACTGCTTTTCCTCTGGATCACGTGGGTTGGAGTAATATTAAACATGTTTAACAAGTGATCTTACAGACAGCAACCAACAGCTCGTACATCATAGAGATGTTTACTAGCTGATAATCAGCTTTCACCCTTCTAGAAGACCCAGTCTACATACAAGTACAAGCCACATTTAATTTCCTACCTGTATTCTCATAAATTAGTCGAACTGAGTCACCTTCCTAAACTCTGGATACCCTCCTTATAATAATCTTGGAGATTTAAGATTATAGCAAACAGGTAAATGAGTTTATAAAATGTTCAAGGCACCAGCAGTGTTACTGTGCTTCAGGGTAGAGTCAGGGAAATTAGACCAGGTGCCAGCTAAGAGTAAAGGGAGAAAGCCCAGAGTATGATTCTGGATCACTGACAACTGATGCTGTGGGCTGAGGAAGGGAAAGGTGCAGAAGGGTGAAAGTGGGTGGAGTTTGGTACCAAGTCTGAGCAGAAACTACACATTAGGACTGCAAAGGAGATCAGTAAAAGCCAGATGATCCCTTTTTCCATCTCTAGATCTTCTAGAAGTAAATTTCACACAGTTAAGGCTCATTAAGTGCTCCTAGACAAGCTCTTTGCAACAGGGCTTCCTGGGGAGTCCAGACAAATTACTGTTTCCTTTGACCAAAGCAGCCTGAAAGCAGGTTGGACCTCTTTATTAGAATGAACTTAGGTACTTAAATTCTCCTTTCCCTTTCAGAGCACATAGGATTTTTCTGACCATAACTAAAGTGCAAAGGTTTAAAATACTAATAATTCCAAGAAAGGAAACATTGGAAACCAATTAGTAAGGATATCCATCTAAATGACCAGAAAGATATTTTCCACTGTTTGGCTAGAAGGAGAGGAAAAAGGCGTGCTGACCACTTGGTTTCTGAAGCACCAGAGGGGTCACCAATGTGAGGAAAAGGATAAGAGAGGGGAATCTTAGAGCAAAGATCAACTTTAACCACCTCCTTTTCAGTTTAAGTCTCCAAATTCCCCTGTCAAAGAATACTCAGTCGACAAAGAGAAGCTGTACCAAAAACTGTTTCATCCATAATCAGCTGTGCCCAGAAACAGCTGATGCAGGGAGTGAGGTGCATTAGCAGAAAGTCAGGTCAAGCCCCAAGCAAAAGTGATGGTTGGTGAGCCCAGGGTCTCTTTGAGGAGACTCCAGCCTGAACCTCCCATTATCTGCCCTCCCTCTTTGCTCCATTAGAAATAATCACTCCTAAGTGGCCCATTATCAATGCCAGCATGATTTTTTCACATTTGCTAAAAGCTTTTCCCTTTTTCTTTTGTTTCTAAGGAACTATTTTAATTCCCTCTCCCCTTTATTTTGCAGTTAACTGACTTGAAAAATATCTGATTTGAAATGGGGCTTACAGACCAATTTCTTCTTTCCTTCAGTACATCCCACGACCCATTCCCCACCCCCTAGCACCTAGTAACAGCCATCGCATATGCATTAAACAAAAGACCCATTAGTGGAGCATTGTTTTGCACTTCTGCAGACAAAGAAGAAAGAGACCTCCAGTTAGAATGAACTCTTTTTGTATTTCTTTCTTTTTCTTTTTTTTTTTTTTTTTTTGGCAACAAATAGCTTTCTTTTAAATTCAGAAATGAAATGGAATTGAGACCCTAAATTGCTCTCATCTAAAATGTTTCACTCTCATCTTCACTTTCCTAGATTATGATCAATTTTCCCCAGAATGAATAATTCAAATTGAGCCCAGTCTTCTGAATCCTTAGAAAAAACAATGCCTTAGCATTTTGGGTCTATTCTACTCACTTATCACTTGGCACATTTTGTCTGGTACTGGCAGATATTCTTTTTGTAACATATAATTTATTTTTCCAAATGGACTACAAGCTTCTGAAGATTAAAGACCATTTCATTCATTCATTCATTCATTCAACAAATGTATTTGAGCTCTTACCATGTGTTAGACATGTGCTAATCACTTGCAATACAGCCAAGAACTAATCAGACAAAAATCCCTGCCTCCCTGGAGTTTATATTCTAGTGGAGGGAGACAGAGAATAAGAAATCAGTGTCATAAATATGTAAATTGTAGAGTATGTTAGAAGGCGATAAGTGCAACAGAAAAAAATAGAGCAATGCAAGAGGAATCTGAAGCTTAAGGGAGGGCTACAATTTTAAATAGGGTGGTCATGGGGGATGAGAGAGTAAGCCATGTGGATAAACAGAAGAACATTCCAGGCAAAGGATATACATTAAAGTGAGAACTTAAAAAATGGAGTTGCCATCAGCTGACTGGGAAGGCTGTGTTTGGATATGTTAAGTTTTGGGTGCCTACTAACGTCTCACTGGAGATCTGATGGAGTAGGCAGTTGGATATAGGTGTCTGAAGATCCAGTAGGGTCTGGGATGAACTATTCATTTGAGAGTAGTTTTAAAAACATGAAATTGGATGAGATCATCACAGAAGTGAGTATAAACAAAGAAGACTCGGAGATGACAGGAAATGATCTCTAAGATAAGAAGAAAACTAAAAATGTGGGGTACCCTGAAAGTCAAGTGAAGAAATCATGACAAAGAAGCAGAGAATAATACTGCTGGTATGTCATGTAAATGAAGGCTGAAAATTGGCTGTGGAATTTAGCAATCTGGAGGTCATTGGCAATCTTGCCAAGAAAAGTTTCCGTGGAGTGATGGAGGTTAAAACTTGATTAGAGTGAGCTTAAGTGAGAATGCAAGGTGCAGTCCACCAGATGTTTGTGTTCCCCCTAAATTCATATTGAAACTCTCATCCCAGTGTTATTGCACTTAGAGATGGGGCCTTTGGGAAGTAATTAGGTCATGAAGGTGGAGCCCTCATGAATGGAATTAGTGTCCTTACCATAAGAGGCCAGAGAGCTAGCTCACTCTCCTTCTATCTGTGAGGATACAAAAAGGTGGCCCTCCACAACTAAGAAGAAGATTCTCAATAGAACCTGATGATACGGGCATCCTGACTTCAAACTTTCAGCCTCTAGAACTGTAGGAAATATCTGTTGTGTATAAGCCATCCAGTCTATGGTACTTTGTTATACCAGCCTGAACTAATTAAGGCGGGGGCAAGGATTTGATGATTATATATACAGACAACAATTTTTAGAATATTTTCTACAAAGAAAAGCAGAGAAATGAAGTGATAGATGGCAGGGGAATTGGTGTCAAGATAAAACTTAATTAAAATTAAATAAATAACAGTATGTTTATATTCTGCTGGGAATAAATCAGGAGAGAAGGAAGACTTAATAATGCAGTATTGAGAGAATTGTGACCAACTGTAACAATACAAAGGAAATGTTATTTTTTATAGCAGGTAGCAAAGCGGTTTCCTCAAAGGAGAGACCCTATTTGTGATTTCTTTCATAAGCCTGCTTAGTGGATAGGCCTCCAGGACTTCTTTGTCAGCTGGTGCTTAAGCTTGAGGAGTTGAAATGCGTTTGTGTTTGCCATAGGAAAGAGGAAGAGAACTGGACAAGGCATGAGGGGAAGAAGACTACATATCACGTAGCCAAGAAGACAGATGTGGGGAGTGCATTGTGACTTGTGATATAAACCTTCTCCTCTGTCTCTCTATCTTTTCACCAAAATCTACACTTGTAGTTTTGCTAATGGAAAATGTCAAGACGTGCTGAAAGTTGCCTTGAGGTTGTAAACAGATTTAAAGAGTGAAAGTAGAGCCTGCCCATGGAAGGACAAGTCATGGGGGTTACAGAGTGGACTCTCTCTGACAGACTTCTGTTATTATTGCTTGCCCCAGGCAGCTCTCACTTATTTTGTATCAAATTATCCCCTCAGAACGTCATACCTGTCTCATTCTACAAAGTCTTCCCTGGCAACACACACTCTAGACTCCTAACTTACTTAGCTACCTGGTCTTGACCTTTGGAGCTGTCATCCTATGCCTATATAATGGCCCAGCCTCTGCTTACTCCTCACCCCCACCCTGCGCCCTCACTCCCCACCACCTGATCTCTCACTACCATGTTTCCTCCTTGATCAATGCCAGGCAAAGTGAACTATTTGCAGTTCCCCAAACTCGTCATGCTGTCTCATTACTAACGTCTTTGTGCATTAAGTTCCCTCTGCCTGAGTATTTTTCTACTCTTTCAAGAGTCAAGCCCTCCTCTTTGCTGATTTAACTCAGAGTCCTTTAAAATTTTGTCTAAAACATCTTTATTTTCTTTCTTTCTTTTTTTTTTCCTCACTTGTTGCCCAGGCTGGAGTACAGTGGCACTATCTCAGCTCACTGAAATCTCCACTTCCTAGGTTCAAGCAATTCTGCCTCAGCCTCCTGAGTAGCTGGGATTACAGTTGCCTGCCACCACGCCTGGCTAAATTTTTGTAGTTTTAGTAGAGATGGGGTTTCACTATGTCGGCCAGGCTGGTCTCAAACACCTGACCTCAGGTGAACCACCTGCCTCGGCCTTTCAAAGAGCTAGGATTGCAGGCATGAGCCACTGCACCTGGCACTTTAAATATCTTTCTAGTGGAAAATTATACCGGCTTATGCACTTCTCTCATGGTAATACTTTTCATAATGTACCACAACTGATGGTTTATTTTCTGTCTCCTCGTTTAAACTGTGAGGTCTCTATCATCCTGGTATTCTTTGTACCTAGGATAGCATCTACTTCACAGTAGCTGCCTAATAAATATTTGCTGAAAACTGAATAAACATCTAATGTCAAAAGTTGTGAATACCAGGTAACTTAGCATAAGCCTTGACCCCATATGAGTGGGGCTTAGAGTTCATCTGCTGCTCTAAAATCAAGGTCATTGTATCTAGTAGTGACCCCCTGGTACTCACAACTATATAAAGATACAACTGGGATCGTGATGTTTGTTCCTATTTTATTTTACTTTTTTTCCCCAGTCCTGTATTAGAACTAGAAGCTGATTGGTCCTGAATCACAACGAATTTGACTGGAGTCCTATCCTTCAGATTAGTTCTTCTGATGTCTGCTTCTATACTTCCAGCTAATAGAGCCTTTCCCAAGGTCAGGTAGTTGGCCTACATTCTCTAGAGCCTGAATGGCTAGGAGACTGAGGTTGCACAGCATCTGCTGCTATTTGACTCTTTTCTCCCTACTCCTCTCCCCATTCTGTAATATGTTCAATACCAGCACCAGTCTGTAATAAGGCAAATTTTATGACTGGATTTAGGATCCCATTTGGGAAGAAGTATTACTGTACTATTGCATTGGTTTTCTATCTCAACTAGGCTACTTCCAACTTACACTTCACCCGTGTCCCACCCACCCAAGATGTCAGGTACATCTCACAGCTGAGACCTGGGTTATTGTTCCACTTTAACCTCTATGCCAGATGTCTACCTGCTGAACCATTTTGCATGCTCAACCCACTCTCCTATCCACCTCTGCTCTGAAATCTTTCCCAATTCCCACTCTTCATCTTGCATGTACTACTCTCAGCTCTTCCTTGTGTTAACAACTTAGTGTCTTTTACTGAAATTAAAAATTTTGTCAGGAAGTTTGCAGATGACATATATATGGGGATTGAGTGTCCTGGTACAACTAACTTTGACCTTTGAATACTATAAAACTATAGCTGTGGAACTTTGTATGACAAATCAGTGATTCTTCTAGTTCTGGTTCCCAAATGACTAATAAAAAGTTAACAATTTTCCACATTTCTCTGATTTTAAGGTACTCATTTAATACTCATTCCTATCCCTAAAGCTCAAGTTCATAGGTTTCCTCCAACTGTCTAGGAAGATTAAATCACATGTGTAAATGTGATAAGAGTATTTTAGGTTTGAACACATGGATTGCAGAATTTGTATGCTGGCCAGAATTTCTGGTGGAGTAAGAATTTTTTGTAGAAATTTATTCCACCCATCATGTAAATGGCTAAATTCTTCTTAAGGCAGATCATTACCTAGATATTTTGACAGATTTGGCAAAAAGAAACAGGACAGCCCAACCTAATTCAATTAATCTTACCACCTATTCTTAAGAACAATTACTCACAAGAAAAATACAGCTGCACCAAAGAATAAAATCCATACCTGCCACTTATTAAAGTAATTTTCAATTTGCTTAAGTCTCTGTGCCTCATTTTCCTGTACGAAGAAAAAAAACCACTTCCTCGTAGTAAGTTGTCATAAATATTATCAAATATCATTCTCAAAAATCCTGAGTTGCATTAAAGCAAAAATAAATCATGAATGGTATATTTTTATTTTCTTTTTAAAATGTAGAATAAAACACAATGGACCATAGACATGTACTTAGGGTACCAACCAGTGGACATGACAAGATAACATAATGTTGATAGGGAATAGGAGTAGGGAACAATGTATAACTATCTAAATGTGCATGGGAAGGGGTGCTAACTAGCCCTAGTTTTTAGGAGTTCCCTACAGAATTACAAGGACCACTGCTTAATATCAGTTATGAGAGAGGCTGTGGTATGCATCAGCTTATTGTTTGGGAAGAGCTTAGTATGAGATGGACCCTTCTCTCATCTTATTAGGACTGAAAAATTAAGTTAGTTGATTTACGGGAAAGTGGTAAAGATTTGAAAAGTGATAGATATGATAAATGGCAGGCTGGGCATGGTGGCTCATGCCCAAAATCCCAGCACTTTGGGAGGCCAAGGTGGGTGGATCACTTGAGGTCAGGAGTTTGAGACCAGCTTGGCCAAAATGGGGAGACCCCATCTCTACTAAAAATATGAAAATTAGCTGGGTGTGGTGGCAGGTGCTCATAATCCCAGCTACTTGGGAGGCTGAGGCAGGAGAATCGCTTGAACCTGGGAGGCAGAGGTTGCAGTGAGCTGAGATTGCACCATTGTACTCCAGCCTGGGTAACAAGAGAGAGACTCCATCCAAAAAAAAAAAAAAGAAAAAAGAAATGATAAATGACAATAAGAAAGGCATAAGAGAAAAATATTCAAGACAATAGCAATGAAGAAAATATTTAAATGTTCTAAAAATATTTTGGAATAGGTGTTTAGAAATTAAAAAAAATGATTTATGCTTAAATACAAGGCTAGACTTTTCATTTCAGCAAATAGGATAATTCTACTGCCCAAACATATAGGTAGATAATATTCAACCTTTACCACAAATTTAGTAGCCATTGTCATTGTTAAGGGCAACAGTAAAGTATTTTGGAAACATTTGGAATTTAAATCGCCCTTTGATAGTTAAACTGTGAAATTAACACATAATGAATATCTATGAAAAGTTGCAAAGCTACCTTAAAAAACACAGAAAGCTTCCCAGTTAAGGCTGTATTACATCTTTACTGAAGGTACCAATATAACCAAAGAAAGAAGAAAGAAAATGTCCATCAGAAAGAGGACTTAAGTCAGACATTTAAGTTTCTTAAAAGCAGAGGCTTGCAGAGGAAACCAAACACAACACTTCTCCAAAAATTGTTAACGGGAAATAGATCCTTAACATTTACTACCAATAAGGCCAGTTATATTGCACTCTGGAGGCAAAGACTAAGTACTATATTTGGAGAAAGACTTCCAGGGTTTAAATCTGGCTTTGCCATTTAATAGCCATGGGCCTTTCAAAATAATATCCCAGATATCAGTGTTTTAACTTCATCTGCAGGTGGGGCTGACAATATTTCTTCTTCATAGAGTTCATGTGGATAAAATACACACTATCAATAAATGTTATCTATGATTATTACATTTACTGAGTGATATTGATAGGCTTTGTGTCCTCACCCAAATCTCATCTTGAATTGTAATCTCCTTAATTCTCATGTGTCTGGGCAGAGACCTGGTGGAAGGGGTACTTTGCCTTATGGTGTTCTTGTGATAGTGAGTTCTCACAAGATCTGATATTTTTACAAGGGGCTCTTCCCCCTTTGCTCCTCACACTTCTCTGTCCTGCCGCCATGTAAGATGTGCCTCTTTTCCTTCCAACATGATTGTAAGTTTCCTGAGGCCTCCTCAGCCATGGGGAACTTAAAGTCAATTAAACCTCTTTCCTTTATAAATTACGCAGTCTTGGGTGGTATCTTTATAGCAGTGTGAGAACAGACTGATACATTGAGCCAATTCCCTTTGCCCTGATTTCAAATTAACATTAAGCAACCTTCAGATTATGATATGGTTTCTTGTATAACTCAAGAAAGCAATGGCCAATTTGAGTATTGGCACGCCTGGAACAGGTTTTGTATTTTTATTATAAATTAATGGATTGAATTTCTCCTGTTATATTCCAGTCTTATGATCTTGATTATTATGAGTCTATTATGTTAGCAATGTGGCATATGTTTGATAGCAACCCAAAGGTCTTTTGAGCTAATGTCAAGATTCAAAAATTCAACACAGGTTGCCTCAGTTAAGGGTGTAAATTTTTTTTTCATAAGAAATTCTATTTCCAGGGAAATAAATAATAGAGAATGCATATAGATACATGGTAGGGCATCAGTCAAATCTAGGATGAGGGGGAGTATAGAGAGAATTATCCCTGTTCTTCTTTCACTTATGCTGATAGAGGCTAAAATGCAAGATAATCTCCTTTCTATTAGTAACTTGGACTATTTCAATATACCCTAGTTTACCAACCCATCCTTAGATATGCAACCAAAGTGATCTCTTTTTTAAAATTTATTAATTTATTTATTTTATTATACTTTAAGTTCTGGGATACATGTGCAGAATATGTAGGTTTGTTAAATAGGTATACACAAGCCATGGTGGTTTGCTGCATCCATCAACCCATTGTCTACATGAGGTACTTCTCCTAATACTATCCCTCCCCTAGTCCCTCACCCCCAACAGACCCTGGTGTGTGATGTTCTCCCTCTGTGTCCATGTGTTCTTATTGTTCAACTCCCACTTATGACTAAGAACATGCAGTGTTTGGTATTCTGTTCTTGTGTTAGTTTGCTGAGAATGATGGTTTCCAGCTTCATCCTTGTCCCAGCAAAGAACATGAACTCATCCTTTTTTATGGCTGCATAGTATTCCGTAGTGTGTATGTGCCACATTCTCTTTATCCAGTCTATCATTGATGGGCATTTGGGTTGGTTCCAAGTCTTAGCTATTGTGAATAGTGCCACAATAAACATACGTGTGCATGTGTCTTTATAGTAGAATGATTTATAATCCTTTGGGTATATACTCAGTAGTGGGATTGCTGGATCAAATGGTATTTCTGTTTCTTGATCCTTGAGGAATCACCACTCTGTCTTCCACCAACAGTGTAAAAGCATTGCTATTTCCCACATCCTCTCCAGCATCTGTCATTTCCTGACTTTTTAATGATCTCCATTCTAACTGGCATGAGATGGTATCTCACTGTGGTTTTGATTTGCATTTCTCTAATGAACAGTGATGATGAGCTTTTTTTCATATATTTGTTGGCTGCAAAAATATCTTCTTTTGAGAAGTGTCTGTTCATATCCTTTGCCCATTTTTTGATGAGGTTGTTTGCTTTTTCCTGCAAATTTGTTTAACTTCCTTGTAGATTCTGGATATTAGCCCTTTGTCAGATAGATAGATAGCAAAAATTTTCTCCCATTCTATAGGTTGCCTGTTCACTCTGATTATAGTTTCTGTTTCTGGGCAGAAGCTGTTTAGTTTAATTAGATCCCATTTGTCAATTTTGGCTTTTGTTGCCATTGCTTTTGGTGTTTTAGACATGAAGTCTTTGCTCTGAATCATATTGCCTAGGTTTTCTTCTAAGGTTTTTATGGTTTTAAATCTTATGTTTAAGTCTTTAATCCATCTTGAGTTAATTTTGTATAAAGAATAAGGAAGGGATCCAGATTCAGTTTTCTGCATATGACCAGCCAGTTTTCCCAACACCATTTATTAAATAGGGAATCCTTTCCTTACTGCTTGTTTTTTGTCAGGTTTGTCCAGATAGTTGCTTGCAGATGTGTGATGTTATTTCTGAGGCCTCGTTCTGTTCCATTGGTCTGTATATCTGTTTTGGTACCAGTACCGTGCTCTTTTGGTTACTGTAGCCTTTTAGTATAGTTTGAAGTCAGGTAGCAGTATGCCATCAGCTTTGTTCTTTTTGCTTACATTTTAATATTGTTATGTGTGAATTTGATCTCGTCATTATGATGTTAGCTGGTTATTTTGCCCATTAGTTGATGCACTTTCTTCATAGTGTCGATGGTCTTTACAATTTGTTATGTTCTTGCAGTAGCTGGTACTAGTTTTTCCTTTCCATATTTAGTGCTTCCTTCAGGAGCTCTTGTAAGACAGGCCTAGTGGTGACAAAATGTCTCAGCATTTGCTTGTCTGTAAAGGATTTTATTTCTCTTTTGCTTATGAAGCTTAGTTTGGCTGGATATGAAATTCTGGATGAAAATTCTTTTCTTTAAGAATGCTGAATATTGGCCCCCACTCTCTTCTGGCTTGTAGGGCTTCTGAAGAGAGATACACTGTTAGTCTGATGGGCTTTCCTTTGTGGGTAACCAGATCTTTCTCTCTGGCTGCCCTTAACATTTTTTCCTTCATTTCAACCTTGGTGAATCTGACGATTATGTGTCTTTGGGGTTGCTCTTCTCGAAGAGTATCTTTGTGGTGTTCTCTGTGTTTCCTGAATTTGAATGTTGGCCTCTCTTGCTAGGTTGGGGAAGTTCTCCTTGATAATATCCTGAAGAATATTTTCCAACTTGGTTCCATTCTCCCCATCACTTTCAGACACACTAATCAAACATAAGTTTGGTTTTCTCACATTGTTCCATATTTCTTGGAGGCTTTGTTCATTCCTTTTCATTCTTTTTTCTCTAATCTTGTCTTCACATTTTTTTTTATTAAGTTGATCTTCAATCTCTGATATCATTTCTTCCACTTGTTTGATTCAGCTATTGATACTTGTGTATGCTTCATGAAATTCTCGTGCTGTGTTTTTCAGCTCCATCAGGTCATTTATGTTCTTTTCTAAACTGGTTATTCTAATTAGCAATTCCTCTAACCTTTTTTTAAGGTTCTTAGTTTCCTTGCATTGGGTTAGAACATGCTCCTTTAGATCGGAGGAGTTTGTTATTACCCACCTTCTGAAGCCTACTTCTGTCAATTCATCAAACTCATTCTCTTCCAGTTTTATTCCCTTGCTGGTGAGGAGTTGTGATCCTTTGCGGGAGAAGAGACATCCTGGTATTTGGAATTTTCAGCATTTTTGTGCTGGTTTTTCCTTATCTTAGATGATTTATCTACCTTTGGTGTCTGATGTTGGTGACCTTCTGATGGAGTTTTTGTGTGGACCTCCTTTTTGTCAATGTTGATGCCATTCCTTTCTGTTTGTTAGTTTTCCTTCTAACAGTCAGGCCCCTCTGCTGCAGGTCTTCTGGAGTTTGCTGGAGGTCCACTCCAGACCCTTTTTGCTTGGGTGTCACCAGTGGAGGCTGCAGAACAGTAAAGATTGCTGCCAGTTCATTCCTCTGGAAGCTTCATCCCAGATGGGCATCTGCCAGATGCCAGCTGGAGCTCTCCTGTATGAGGTGTCTGTTGACCGCTGCTGGGAGGTGTCTCCCAGTCAGGAGGCATGGGGATCAGGGACCCACTTGAGGAGGCATTCTGTTCCTTAGCAGAGCTCGAATGCTATGCTGGGAGATCTGCTGCTCTCTTCAGAGCCAGCAGGCAGGAATGTTTAAGTCTGCTGAATCTGTGCCCACAGCTGCCCCTTCCCTCAGGTGCTCTGTCTAGGAAGACAGATGTTTTATCTATAAGCCCTGACTGGGGCTGCTGCCTTTCTTTCAGAGATGCCCTGCTCAGAGAGGAGGAATCTAGAGGGGCGATCTGGCCACTGTGGCTTTGCTGAGCTGCAGTGGGCTCCAGCCAGTTCAAACTTCTCAGCGGCTTTGTTTACACTGTGAGGGGAAAATTGCCTACTCAAGCCTCAGTAATAGCAGACGCTCCTCCTGCCCCCAAGCTCAAGCATCCCAGGTTGACTTCAGATGGCTGTGCTAGCAGCAAGAATTTCAAGCCAGTGGATCTTAGCTTGCTGGGCTCGGTGGGGGTGAGATACGCTGAGCTAGACCACTTGGCTCCCTGACTTCAGCCCCCTTGCCAGGGGAGTGAACGGTTCTGTCTTGCTGGCATTGCAGGTGTCACTGTGGTAAGAAAAAACACTCCTGCAGCTAGCTCAGTGTCTGCTCAAATGGCTGCCCAGTTTTGTGCTTGAAACCCAGGGCCCTGGTGGTGTAGGAACCTGAGGAATCTCCTGGTCTGGTGGTTGTGAAGACTGTGGGAAAAGCATAGTATCTTGGCTGGAATGCACTTTTCCTCACAGCACAGTCTCTCATGGCTTCCCTTGGCTAGGGGAGGGAGTTCCCCAACCCCTTGCACTTCCCGTGTGAGGCGATGCCCCACCATGATTTGGCTTGCCCTCCGTGGACTGCACCCACTGTCTAACTAGTCCCAATGAGATGAGCTGGGTACCTCAGTTGGAAATGCAGTGCCTTCTGCATTGATCTCTCTGGGAGCTGCAGACCGGAGCTGTTCCTATTCGGCCATCTTCCCAGTTACCAAAGTGATCTTATAACAAGAAAATTTGTTTATATCATTCTTAATTTCTTCAGTGATTTCACAGTGGGCAGGGTAAGTATTTACCTAACTCACAGAATACTCCAGCTTCCTCACCCTCAGAGGTAAGGCCCAGGCAGTAATGTTCATACATTAAAGTAAATCTATGCCCCTGGCTGCAGTTGATTATACCAAGGGTTAAAACAGCTGGGCCAATTATATTCTTTCTTCTAGAAATTTGGAATTGTGATGAAGAAAGATTAGTCTCTTCCAATTGCTGGACTCAGTAGTTGAATGATGGCTATGTCTTCTGTGTGAACTGTGAAGCAGAGAAAGCTGGTCTAGTTAGAAAGAAAATAATGAAACAGAAACACTAAGAAGAACAGAAGTGAAAGAAGGTGACATCTTCATAGGCTCGCTTCTCCTTGTTTCTGTTTCTAAGGACTTACTGAATTGCCACACTTGAGTTTCAAGAAACTGCCTAGATTTTTCTGTTTAAGTCAAATTATTTTTTAGCTTAATCCTGAATTATGTTTTAACTGATTGCAACTATGAAACTCCTTCTCTTGGAAAGTGCAGTCTAACATGATACCCTTCATAAGTGTTTTTTACCAGCTACTGGTCAGCCTCACCTTCTACTGTCACAGCTTCTGCTTGATTCCCCATCTCTCCACCAAACACCACAGAAGACATTTTAACTTTTTATGTTCTCATACCATGGTGTTTTCTATATGCTATTTTCTATTTCTACAGTAATCACCCATCCTTGTCCACTTGCTAAATGGTTACCCATTCTGAACACTTCTATCGTGCTTTGGAGATTCTCACATTATTGTACATAAGTCATTGAAGAAAAATGATTTGCATATCTGTCTCACCACCACCACCCTATAATCTCACAGGTGGTGAACATATACCATTTATATTTTTTAATTTCACTTCTGTATTCTCAATTCAAAATACACAATATGTGCTGTCATGTATTCCTGATACATTTACATCTTTTAATCATTCATAAGATAACATGTATGTTCAATAAGCACAACTACTAAAGACTTTGGGGTTGATGATATTATTTCTGGGACAAGAAGATAAAATAAAACCTGAGATTCTAAAGAGTTACGTTCTACTTGGCATTCCCACCAGGACATAAAAGTTCTGATAATTGTTAGTCATGAGCCCAGCAACATAAAACATCATAAGCTCTTTCATCAATGTCAACGTTAAATCATATTTGATGTATTAAGTGCCAGTATAAAACCAATAACAGCAGCATCCTGGGACATAGCCAGAATAAGAGCTGTGAAGGATCATTTGCCGTTCATAACTGCATTGACTTGAGCACAAGTGGGGATTAAAGAACAGCAGGCTACCTAATCAGCCGCTGTCTGGAGAGCTGAAGTTGGGTTATCACAAGCTGAGAGGGCAGTGAGAGCGACAGTAAGACAGGCGTACATCTGAACAGGTTGTCAGGAGACAAAAGTGCCTGTGAAGTGGCCATCAGAATTGAACAATGAAGTGTGTTGGTCCCACTGAGGGTGAGTCAGTCACACCGCCAGGATAGCAGATGATGAAGTATGGTGAAGTAGGAGAAGAAATATACAGGAGAAGAAATATACAGGATGCTTCTGGATTATGCTTGTTGTCTTTGTTTAATTATTAAGCAACTACCTCTGTGTCTTCTTTTAAAAAGATGCCCGTTTGGTGAAAAATAAGAGTGACTGATTATAAACAACCATTAAATCAAAATATTACCAAATTCTGCACACAGACCAAAGTTACAATAATCCTGTTAAAGAGTTTCTAAAACATTGCTGTGATGCATTTCTGGGTTGTGTTTGTGTAGGTGTCTGTGTGCCCAGAATCCCTTTGAGGGAATCTTCGCAGTCCATGTAGTTCAGGCGAGGCTGCTTCAGTCACCCACTGATGCCATTCGGTAGGCATCTAACCTAACTGCAACTCTCTACTCCCACCAAATCACACCAGTCTGGGACAGAGGCCTTCCTAGGATACTGACAGAACTTTTGAGGAAAATATCTTTTTATGAGTGTGAAATTCTGATTGTCATCTGTGTTATAAAATGGGAAAAAGGGAAGGAGTAATTAAGGTAACAGAGGAAAAGAGAACAGAGAAACAAAGAATTCCTTGTTTCAACCATGCCTGGAGTTTATTCTCAGTTATGGGAGACAATGAGTTACCTTTTTGCTCAGTGTAGTGTGAATTGGGCCTGCACATATTACCAAGATAGTCCTGACAAATACAACTGCTTTTTCACTAAACTGTCCAACTTTTTATCTGCCCCATCTCATTATACCAAATATAAGCCCATGTGCAGCAGCTGTACAAACAGGACAAAAAAGAAATAGATAATAGGATGGGTCTAGGCTTTGGTCAGCAAAGAACTAAGCCACTGTCCATGACTGGTGCTCCAGCAAGCACAGCTCTTATATCAGTCGCTAATGTGCTTATTTCTCTCACGATTGAGATGCAAGCAAATTTTAATAGCAATAAGCAAAGAGATAGAATTAAAATGCAACATTAATTTTACTGGCTTCTCACAAACTGAAATATTCTGAAGAGAAAATTGAAATTAGCATATACTGAGCTTAGACCCTAAAGTGTTAGAAGCCAAAAGGTTTTAGCCTTGGCATGGCCAAAAGCACTGCTTACTTTTTGATAATGGCATAATTGCTTTTTTTCATATCAGTGAAAGCAGAAACAGAAACAGCATATTGACTTTATAAGTCATAATCAGGCTGGCAGCCTGTATTAGTCTGTTCCCACACTGCTAATAAAGACATACCCAAGACTGGGCCATTTCTAAAGAGAAAGAGGTTTAATGGACTCACAGATGACTGGGGAGGCCTCACAATCATGGTAGAAGGTTAAGGAGGAGCAAAGGCACATCTTACATGGTGGCAGGCAAGAGAGGATGCTCAAGGGAACAGCCCTTTTATAAAAAACAACAACAAAAAATCAGTTCTTGTGAGACTTACTAACATGAGAACAGTATAGAAAAACCCACCCCCATGATTCAATTACCTCCCACTGGGCCCCTCGCATGGCATGTGGAGATCAGGAAAGCTACAATTCTGGATGAGATTTGCGTGGGGACACAGCTAAATATCTTAGCCCTTGCCTTCCTTAACATTTCTCTGCTGGAATCACAGATACACTCCATATAACACCTCAGTTTAGCCCTGGCTATGACCAGGTAGGTGCTCCTTGGCATTGTTATAGGGCTAGTCTTGCATATTGGGCCCAGCCTCAATCATATGATGGGAGTTCTGGCACTCTCTGTCCACTTCATTTTCCTTAACCCTACTGCTTCCCCCATCCAGAACCTGAAACTTCTGGTTATATCTAAGACACCACCTAGTAGGACTGCATTCTGTTCTCCATGCTGTTTACTATACAATTTTCTATGAAAAGACTGGTTGTTTGGAATCACAGTAACTCCCTCCACCTGGCCAAGAGAAGCACAGCCACTGTCATAGTGTATGTCTGCTTTGGAGTTCATTGTATATTGAGTCAAATCTAAAATTTTATATTCTAGTAGACACTGAATATGGTTTCACCTAGGTGATTTCATGTGTTTAATACTGCATCAAAACATCCTTGGCAAGTTCCTGCCTTCTTTATTCCCACCTTTCTGTCACTAAGTTCTCTATATTTTAAAAATAAACCTTAAAGGTTATGAATTGCTGTTGGATATACAAATATATAGGAGCAATACTAGTTAGGAGGCTTTTGTTAGAATCCATTTGAGAGACTATGTTAGTTTAGTCCAGTATGTTAGAAGAGGTAAGAGTTGGTCATTTTCTAGGTATTTTTGAAGGTAGATCTGATGGGATTTTCTAAAATGTTGGATATGGGTTGTGCCAGAAAGAATGCCATCAAAGGTGACACCTCTATTTTTTATTTGAGTAACTGGAAAGGTGAGTTGCTGTTATCCTACTTAGAGATGATTGAGGGAGGAGCAGCTTTGGAGGGTACAGAGATGGAGAACTAGTTTGGGAATACTGTTTGTAGTATCTATTAATCATCAAAATAGAGACGTAGCATTATTTAGGCACCCTGAAGGCCACCCTCACTTTAACACCAGCTGAAAAGTTCAAGGGCCTCCAAGGCCACCTTCACTTCTGACACCAGTTGCAATTTCAGGGGTCCCAAAGATTACTCTCAAGTTTGATAATTTGCTAGAATGAGTCACAGAGTGGACTGAAAGCTGTTATACTCATGGATACAATTTATAGCAGCAAAACAATGTAGGTTAAAATTGGCCAACGGAAGGAGTGCATAGGGAAGAGTCCAGGAGAGGTCCGTGCCCAGACTTTTCAGTTGTTCTTTCCCAGTGGATTTGTGGACAGTGCTCACTTCTTCAGGCAATGACCTGTAACAATGTGCATGTAGTATTGCCAACTAGGCAAGCTCACTAGAGCTTGAATGTCTTAAGTGTTTATTAGGGTTTAATCATGTAGACATGACTGGCCACCCACTTGGCTGACCTGTAGTCTCCAACCCCTCCAGAACTTGAGCTGATGCCACATAGCTCAAAGCCTCTACCATGAATCACATTGTTTGACTAATCACATTGTTAGCCCAAGGTGCCCAAATAAACAAAAGCACTCTTGTTAGATAGGACATGGCAAAGGCTTAGAGAGTGTCTCCCAGGAGCTAATGGCAAAGGCCGGATCTCTCTTTAGGTAAAATTAATTCTTTATTACACAGATGCCAAATAGAAAAGTGAATTTAAAAGTCTAGAGTTTGAGAAAGTGGACTGGTAAGAGATATGCCAGCGTACAGACAGTGTATTAGAGTCCTAGCAGAAAGTAAAATTCACTTAGATGGTTTTAATGAAAACATTTTGATAAAGATACCCCTTACAGGACTGCAGGCAAGATTTTGAGATCAAGTAGGGCCTGTTGAGACACATATATACCATCCTGGGATCCAAAGGAAAAGCAGTTAACAGAACCAATGAAAAGGGTTAACATGTGCCAAGCACAGTGCTAAGTGATTTGTTCATTTGATTTTTCCTATATGGTAATAATTATTATTATCAAATGCTTATAAGGGAGAAAACTAAAGTTTAAAACATTTAAATACCTTTGTCTATATTTGTTCAGGAGAGAGTTAATGACCTGGGATTCAGCCTGAATCTGCCTGCCACGGGCTGCCATGCCACTTATATGATTCTAAAATTTGACATTGTTATGCCACATATAAGATCATCCTGTGGGTTTCAGCCGCTCTCCATGACTTACCTACAAAAGGGTGTCTAGTTAGTGACTCTCCCACTTAGGCTTTCCTGAGAGGCTTCTGCTTTGCTAGATCAGGGTTGTGAGCATTTCTGGTATGGAAGTTTACAAATGGGAGTGGAGTAGAAAAAACAAAAACATAATGGCCGAATTCTCCTGTGGAAGGAAGTTAGGGAAGAGGTAAACTAGACTTCCAGGAAAACAGAAGCAAAGGAAGTATGTATGTGTATGATTCTAAGTGTGTACACACATACACATGTACATGTATTAAGTGTCAAAGTGTGTTTTCAGGATTTGGGTGTGTTTGAGAAGAGAAAAAAATACAGGATTTTAGTTGCAACTGACTATAAATTTGTACACTTTTAAAATGTTTTCATGGGATTGTAAAGGTCTGAATTCCTGCTGGAATTCTATTTATTTGAATGTATCATGGTTCAAGGTTATCAAGTGTGTCCTGGCTTCGAAGAGAACATAGTGCCTAGAATGTATCATCTATACTGTATTATTATTATGATTTTTGTTACAAAGCGTGGAAGGGCTTTGCCATTAATAAAACAATATAATGGATATGATTTAATATCATTAAAAATAATCAAGAGATTTTAATATGGGGATAACCATTATATAATCCCACCATGCCTATCCCACCACCTGGGTCAGATCCCGTATTGAAACATGCCCCTAGACACAGAACTGGACTCAGAAAGATTCTTGGCACAGTGCTTCATTTAGCTACAAATAATCAATTATCCCTGACATGCAAGTTAAAACTCATTTGCCACTTGGTTTATAATGTATCAAGCTAAAATGTTTTAACATGTTCTGGGTCTTCAATTTACTAGGTTATATCATAATTTTAAAATAAAGAAAATTTCAAAGAAAGAAGGCAATATCTCTGTAAAATTAGCATTCAGACTTGAGTATGTCCCAAGGAGACTAGCCCTCCAATTCTATTTTGTATAGCTTTCTTTTCCTCCTCTGAGAAGGTGAAAAACTCTTTGAAGATTTCCTTTCATTTCCTTTTCTCTTCTCTCTTATTTCTCTAAGCCCCAATTATCTCTGTTTTCAATGTTCTCTGTACAGAAAAAATCCGCATCACCACCCACCTCCAGAAGGAGAGAATGGCTGATAAAAAATTGGAGATTGGATTTTGTTTCAGTGCCAATCTACTACTTGTGTCAAACCATTTTAAATTTTCTCATTATAGTTAGCTCTCTTCTCTATTTTTACAGCATTGCCACACATTACAAAATCCATAGCTGGTACATATGCACTATTTAGTTAGCTTTAAAACATTTCTGTAGCCCACATACATTCTAATAAAATTAATTCTTTGAAAGGCCATACTTTGGCTTCTGAATAAATTATTATCTTTTCTCAACTGAAAAAAAAAAGATGATGATGAAACATGGAATATAGATGAATCATTTTTGTGTAGCTTATAATACAATGCATTTTGGGTTGAGTCTGAGCTTGCATAAAGACTGACTGAAATGATAAATAGGCCTGATGATTAAGCCAGGTGGCAAATCACTAGTTTGTGTAGCTGCCAAAATGGATACCTGGGTATGGGAGGAAACCTGGGACTCCCTTCCTGGGGATAGGGTAGTCGAGGCCTGCCGTAGAAGTGGTGTGATTAATCTCTTTAGAAGAGAGTGCCAGCTGCAGTGTGCATAAATGTCTCCTCCTGGATTCTCCTTAAAAGCTAAATTGATGACAGTCTCTTAAAAGAGCAGCTCAGCCCTCTGTCCCTGTAAGATAAAGACAAACCTTGATTTCAGCTACTACTGAAATAAGTAAAAGTAGAAAAAGGTTAAAAAAAAATAACAGTACTGTACTCTTAGTGAAGGAATTAGAGGTAATAGAATGTTACTCATCTACCAAAATATAAGGATAATTGCAATGTGGTACCCTTTTTTGTTAGAAGGTTTTGTGGAGCCCATCTGTGCAGATTGTTTGTTTTTTACTATCATTACATCAATTAATTACATTAGGGAAGAAGGGGACACTTTAATTAAAAGGCTGTTTTAAGGAGTTATAATTCTACTCTGTCATTAAATAATTTAACAATTTAAATAGGCACCAAATTTGTTAGTAAAGAATAATTCTGAAAATGTTTGTTTGTAAATTATTTATATTAACCACATTTTCAGCAAAATTAATTTTGCCTTTTTATTTCATCAAATCAAAGCGTCCATTGATTTCTTCATTTTGACCAATGGACTGTAGGATAGGAAGACATATAAACCATCTCAATTATTTTGAGAGACTTATTTTTTCCTAAAAGAGAAAAACCTCTCATTTTACCAAGTATGCATATTTGCTTGTGTGTGATATGTCTGATTAGGGTAATCTTTTCTGCAATTGGCATTTTTAGAACATGATGAGTTGCAAAGAGAAGACATGGCTGGTGAAAAGATGGATATAGACCCACAGAAATAAATATATAGCCAATAATGTAATTTAAAAACATTGCTGCTACTTAAGTCCATACTTCTTTGGATAAAAACCTTCATCCACATAAGTTATACTACAGGAATGCCTTTGTGTATTTCACATAAAATGGGTGGATAAACATCTATTTTTTGGATGTCTTGAATGCATCTTTCTTTTTGTCAACCATCTTCCATTTTTCTAGAGTGTGCTAAATAATGGAATTCAGAGACTTGTATCTAAATGTCAGGGAATAAGGAAAGCAAAGGATTAAGAATGAAAATAAATATGGAAATATGAGAAATAATATCATGGGACAGAACAAGAGAGGCTTAGAAGCTAAGAGAAGATTCTAAGCAACTCCTGGTGCAGGAGTTGATGGAAAGTGAGAATTTAAAAATAATGATTCTGCATTCTGTATTTAAACTGTTCTCTAGACTGTTTCTGTCTGATTGAAATAGTAAGCCATTTTTTTTAAAACATTGAATGTGAAAAGCATTATAGAAACTGCTTTTGTACTTAAAAAAAATGCCAGAGTCAAACTGTATCTCATGCAGTTGAAGACTGAATAAGTAATATTATTCCAGTCATTATATTTATCTAGGATCAGTGTCTTACACATAGTGGATGTGCAAAAAATATATGTGGAATGAATGAATGAAGATAACATTTTACTCAAATTTTTAAGTAGGAGACGGCAGGTCCTACTAGTAGTGAGGTTTTTATCTTTTTTTCACTCTTCAATGTTATTCCCCAGGGAAACTGGCAAACTGAAATCTGTTACATTAATGCCAGCAGAGATGTATGAGTGTGAAGAGAATAAGTAAACATTTATTGTACCTGATGGCTCAATGGACTATCAACATGAGCTCTTAAGAGACTTGAAAATACTTGGCAGTGTTTATCCTTAGGATGAACTCTACAAAAACTATTTGTGGACATTATTTTCAGAAAATTTCTATTTTGGGGTCAGCTGAGCTTTTTCAATTCAAAACTTATGAGCTAATATGTAACTATATAACGCCTTTCCTTTGGCAATGAGTTAATTTCTTAATGTTTTTTAATTCTAATGTTAGGTTTTCTATCTAAATCAGTGTCAAAATATCATCCAAAAATAGAGATAGTAGCTAGTACATTTTTAATACAATATTTTCCCATGTTACCCAATATAAACATAATGACAAACAGCCATTTACTGAGAGTCTAATATATGCCAGTTTATTTTTCAGAGTTTTACATGTTAAACCATAGATGATTTTACCTTCTTATAGAGAAAAATATATCAAAGCTGAGAGTAACATAGTGCCTTGCACAAAGCCACACGGATTGTAAAATTTTGAACTGAGATTCAAACCCAACACCCCAGCTATAATAGACTAAATCCCCCAAATTTACATTTGACGCTCACAAAATCTTGTGAGGTAAGTAGGGCAAAAGCAATTTTTATTTTCTTTATTCACCTAGGGTTGTTATTTGATTATTCTGCATTTATGGAAATAATTTTGTGAGAATGATAGAAATTTAAAATGGGAACAATTTAGGGGTAATCTAAATTAGCAATTCTTAGACATTTTCGTTTTAGTACCACTTTACATCCTTAATAATTATTGAATAACTCTAAAAGTATTTGAAATATGTGCTATATTCCTTGATACCATATTAGCAATAAAAATTGGAACATTAAATTCATTATTAGTTATTTAATAACAATAGTAAACTACCTCTTCACATAAATATTATATTTTTATGATAAGTACCTAGATGTTCCAAAACAAAAAAAAAAGTGAGAAGGGTAGCATTATTTTATATACTTATAAGTCTCTTTACTATTTAGTTTAATGGGAGGCAGCTAGATTTTCACATCTGCTTCCTCATTCAATCTGTTGTAACATCACATGTCCTGTAACGTCTGGAACACTCCACTGCACATGTGTGAGAGAATGGAAGTTAAAAAAACAAAGAAGGGCTGGGCACGGTGGCTCACGACTGTAATCCCAGCACTTTGGGAGGCCAAGGCGGGTGGATCGTGAGGTCAGGAGTTCGAGACCAGTCTGGCCAACAGGGTGAAACCCCATCTCTACTAAAAATACAAAAATTATCCGGGTGTGATGGTGGGCACCTGTAATCCCAGCTACTCGGGAGGCTGAGGCAGGAGAATTGTTTGAACCCAGGAGGCGGAGGTTGTAGTGAGCCAAGATCGCGCAATTGCACTCCAGCCTGGGTGAGAGTCTGAGACTATATCAAAAACAACAACAAAAACTACTTAGTATTATTTAAAAATAGCTAGACTTCAGGGACCCTTCTGAAGGGTACAGGTGTCTGTGGAGCCACTTCGAGAGCTGCTGATCTAGATAAAACTTTCATTTAGAAGACATGGAAATTAAGGTGTCTCATGGATCTGCTACTGATGATCGATTAGAGAGGGGCTGATACTTTCCTACAAGGGTATTAGATATGGCTAGGATGGATGCTCAAACTATCTTATGGAAATATATGAAGGTGATTTTGAGTGGCGGTTTGTATTTTACCTCCCTCCCACTGATGACACAACAACCAACCCGCACAACCCTTCTGAAACTACCCTTGCCTGGAACAGCAATGATCTTGTTAAATTCAATAATCATTTTTTAAAAAGTGCTTACTGAGATTTGTTTGTTAGCAACCCTTGACATGGCTGATCACTCCCTTCATTTTGACTCAATTGTATGGTCCTCCCATGATCTCACACTCAGTGAAAGCACCCTCTCTCTCCAGATGCCCAACCAGAAGTCAGAAACTTCCCAGACTCTGATCTCTTCCTCACCAAGTGATCTCAATCATCTTTTCTTATAAATATCTCAGTATTCCATCCACATTTTTTCTGCCTGATATTTTGCCCTGACTATGCATCTTACCTCTCTTACATTATCACTACTATCTTCTAACGATTTGATTTTATTCCTTATTTTTATGTGTTTTTTTTTCCAAATTTTATTTTAGTTTCCAGGTGTACATGTGCAGGTTTGTTACATGGGTAAATTTTGTGTTGTGGGGGTTTGGTGTACACATAATTTTGTCACCCAAGTAATCAGCATAATACCAATAGGCAGTTTTTCAGTCATTAGTTCACTTCAAATAATGAACTCCAGCTCTGTCTGTGTTGTTGCAAAGGCCATGGTCTCATTTTTATGGCTGTGTAGCATTCCATGGTGTATATGTACCACATTTTCTGGTATCTAGGTTGATTTCACATCTTTACTATCATGAATAGTGCTGCGATGAACATACACATGCATGTTTTTTAATGGTAGAGTTATATTCCTTTGGGTATATCCCATTAATGGGATTGCTGAGTTGAATGGTGTTTTAAATTCTTTAAGAAATCTCCAGACTGCTTTCCAGAGTGGCTGAACTAATTTACATTCCCACCTTTTCTCCACAACTTCACCAGCATGTTACTTTTTGACTTTTTAATAATAGTCATTCTGAATGGAAAATATTTGCACACTATATCTCTGACAAAGGTCTCATTTCCAGAATCTACAAGGAACTCAAGTCCGCAAGCAAAAAATAATCAACCTCATTTAAAAATGGGCAAAAGACATGAAAAGACACTTCCAAAAGAAGACATATATGTGGCCAACAAACATATGAACCAATGCTCAATATCACTAATCATTAGGGAAATGCAAATTAAAACCACAATGAGATACCATCTCACACTAGCCAGCATGGGTTTTATTAAAAATCCAACTATTTCTTTCCCCGGTTCTTCTCATCGGTCCTCCATAATCTGAGCAATTCTTTTGAACTACAGATTCCAAGTGGGCACTTTTCACAGCTCTTAGGTTAAAGCCCCAATTCTTTCAAGTATTTTACAAAAGCTTCTGAAGCAGCCCCGTGCTTGCATCTACAGCTGGGCTTGTCACTGATTCTTCTTTGCTTCATAAGATTCTCTGACCTGCTCCCTCACTTCCATGACAGTATATAAAAACTGTTTATTCTTCTATATGCATTCCTTTGACTCTTTCTCTTTTTATTCATGTATTAACTTGGATGTCACCTCCTTTGGAATAATTTCCCCTGAGTCCTCCCACTCTGAGTTAGATTATCCTGTATATGATTCCTCAATGATGTGTTCTTTCCAACCAAAATATTATTTGCCAGTCTTCATTTGTAGTTACTTGCTTAATATCATTTTCCCCTGTATACTTTTAGTATTGTATGCACAGAAACTTCATCTGATTTTGTCTTTCTATAGTGAAAGAATAACCCCATTAAAAAATGGGCAAATGACATGAAAAGACACTTCTCAGAATTGTTCTACCCAATGTTGAGAACAATGTTGGACTTACAGTAAGAAGATTATAAGTCATACACATTTGTTAGATGCATTATTAAATGAATATTTTTTCTCTTTTTTCTGCAGTTAGTTGTATTTATGGTTTTCTGACTCACCTTTATGAAGTTGAGAATCTTGCTTTGAATTAATTATTTTATTGTCCTGTTAGTATAATATAGTTACTATCCTGTATGACTGCTATGCCAAAGTGGTTCAAAGACTGGCTCTCGTATGACACCTAAAACCAGGTGAAACCAGGCCTATATTTGGAAATTGGCCTCATTCTTTTATGACCAAGAAGGTCATCTGGGAAGATTGGTTAAAATATGCATGCATGAGTTCTACCCTCTGAAGATTCTAAATTGGTTGTTTAGATTGTAAGCAGCTCCACAGATTACTGCCACACCTTTCAAAGTGTAGGAACTACTGACTTACTGCAAGAATACTCTGGTTTATTTATAAAAAGTAGTTAAAGAGTTACCTTGTAAAATGTACTCTAATTTAGTAGCAGAGCACTCCCATGTTCAAAGAAATATATAGTTTTCTGAATGTATAGTTTTCTGTACATATATGTTTGGAAGGACGTCATAGCCGAACATTAAACTCTAGCAGGTATTACAAGTTCAAGTACCTATTTTTGTTTCTTTACAGCTCAATGTTAACACCTGTACTCATTAAACACATCTTACTTCTCTAGAACTTATTGTAGTATGTTTAATGGATGCATTTAATATCAATTTTTATGTAGTATTTATTTAAATAGCATTAGTAAATATTTAACTTTGCAAAACAAAATGTGGTAATACTATTTTACCATGCAATTTTTGCAGCTGTTATGTGTAGAAGCTGTTAGGTGTAGAAGCTGTATAACTTACAGTGAAGCAACTTTATGGGGCCATGTGTTTTTAAAACAAAATATACCAAGTATATTTGTGAATTCACATTTTTTATTGTTAATTGATACATAATAATTTTGCATATTTATGGAGTATAATGTAATGTTTTGACATATGTATATATGTACTGATGACATTAGAGTAATTAGCATATCCATTACCTTGAACATTTATCATTTATTTGTGATAAGAACAGACAAAATCTTCTAGCTATTTTGAAGTAAATAAAACCTTATTGTTAACTATAGTAATCCTTCTAAGCAACAGGACACCAGCATTTATTCTTCCTTTCTAATTGTAACTTTGTACCCACTGACCATCCCCTCTCCATCCCTCTCTTCCCTCTACCCTCCATTTATTTTTATTTATATTTACTCCTGTTTTCAAAAAGGTTAAGTAACAGGTATGTATACATACATACAGACAGTACATGTACGCACACGCGCACGCACACGCAGACACACACACACCACACACACACACACACACACTCGAGAAACAGAGAGAAGGAAAAAGAGACAGTTTCTGATTATTTACAAATATTTTGCTTTATCATTGTTTGTCATACTGTATTGATGAAGGTAGTTTTTCAGGGAAAATAGAAATAGATACTAGTATAGAGATGAGATTTTTAAAAGATAAGAAGAAAGAGTAGAAGGAGAAAAGAAAATTGCTTCATTTGATCCAAGCTGCAATGGAATTGGATGATCTTTTTTTCTTTTCACACTCTTTTATATAGTGGATCTTTTGTGTCAGCTCTTTAATGTGTTTCATTACTTGAAGACTGTATAAAGGAATACATTCAATAATTTTTCTCTTATTTTAAAATGCATCACAGTTATATGACTTATTGGAAATATATTCATTAATGTGATATATTTTTAATTTAATTATCAGGTACTTCTCTAGGAGAATGCTTACTTTACAAATGTGTGCAGGTATATTTACTTTTTAATTTAATGTTGTTAACTAGAAAACAATACAAAAATTGTTAGCATTATTTTTTAAAATAATTATGGTTCAGGCTATTTAAAATCTATTTTATTAAGGAAAGTTATTTCACTGTTACATATACACCAACTTGAGTTTCCAGGTTATTCACCAGAACATTACATGTTACTGACGATGAAAACCAAGTAACCAAAGTTTCTAATAATAGGGAATAGTTACATAAATTAGGTGCGTGATAAAACACAGTGTTCATTAAAGGCAATCTAGAATAATAATCACTGACTTACAAGGCCCTCTAAGGCATTATCACAAAACAATTATTAATGTAAAATACAATACAAACAAAGCTATGTGTGTACACGTGTAAACGCACAGAACGTGTTATGGAAAAACAGTATTTCAAGCCTTTAATAGTGACAGCCTGCAGGGGAGTAGAACTGGGGTATAAAGGGAAACTATTTTACTCTATGTCTTTTTATACATTTAAGTTATTTATATTAACTTTTAGTCATGTGTTTCTTTTATAACTTGAAAAATGTCTTAAAGAATTTGAGAAATGTTTATTTTAACAAAAATAACAGAGGATATGGAATTGTTTTGAAACAGGAATTTCAAGTTGCACCATTAAATACACTTATACATGGTCAAGAAAATTATGCGTTCTTGGCCGTATCAAACTATCTCATGTAGTTTATAATATACAAACCTATGTAACCACAAAAATTAAAATGAAATAAGAAGAAAATTATACATTCTAATGAGTGTTTTCTGATTCTTTGCCCTACTCTATTTTTTATCTCTAATATTCTTTTTTTTTTTTCCATTTTAATTAAAGGTCTCATTCGTTTGCAAGAGCTCATCAAAGCTCCATCAAGGTATAATCTTCGACTCAAAATTCGTCAGTTACCTGCTGATACAAAGGATGCAAAACCCTTACTAAAAGAAATGAAAAGAGGCAAGGAGTTTCATGTAATCTTTGATTGTAGCCATGAAATGGCAGCAGGCATTTTAAAACAGGTAACCTTTAAATTACTTCAATTCTTGTTTTCTTCATAAACTTGCACTTACAATATGATCTTCTTTTAAATCAAAATATTATTGTTATGCAATCAGTTATAATAACCTTGATGTAATTTTATGATAGAAAGTCTGACAATTGCTTTTAATTAATTGTCTTAAAAGAAAAGTAATGTAAACATTGATGATCTTCAAAACGGGTTGTTGGAAGTTTGGAGGTTATTTTCAAATGACTGCAATGCTGTTGGTTAATGAGATAGTTGATTAATGAGATAGTTATTTCTTTTTGTTTTGAAATGAGGGAAGGAACTAAGAGTCAACCAGTTGAGCAGCTCACTCATTACAATCAGCCAGTAGGAAAAAGATGTAATAGATTTACCATTTACCTGATATTTACTGTAAGAGACTTTATATATTTGATCTTATTTCATCATCACTACAACAAAAAGAAGTAGGGACTATCTCTACTTTACAGACAAACTGAGTCCCAAAATGAACAAGTAACTTGACCAATGTCAAGTAGCAAGAACATAGCAGAGGGATTGATATCCAACCTAATGATGTTAACAAGTATTCATTCCAGAATAAAGCATTGCCTGACAAAAACCAACCAACCAACCAAACAAACAAACAAAACCTTCTAAATCAATCAAACAAAACAATTTGTAGCTGTGAAATCTTTTAGTATTATGTCAGCATTATTCAGACCTAACAGCAAACTGGAAAACAGAAATTATTATCAGTCCATATCTTACAGATGAAGGAACTGAAGTTGGGAGTTAAATGGCCAGAACAAGGCCCTACACTTACTATGTAGTAGAGCCTGGATTTGAACACAAATTTTTGGATTTTGTTTCTTAAACTCTTTTATGCACACTGAGCTGACACCTTTGTAGCTTGGAACTAGTCAGTCATTTAGAAACCTCTCATGTATAGGACAAAATATTTCTACTGGAGAGTTACGCAGATTCAGATGTCAAATTATATCCCGTTAAATATAACTGCCAATAGTAAATGCCTGTTATAGCATGGTTAATTTATTAAGCAGATGTTTATCCAATATTCCAATATAAATGTTGATTTTCACAGTAAAATATTTACTTTGATTTGAAAAATTGCTATAGTTTTATCTTTGGATAATGAAGCATATGAGAGTTTTTGGGTTTTTTTGGCAACAAATAAAACAACGCACTAAGATTACTACTGAACTCTAGAGTCAAGATTTATTTCACATAATTCCCAAACAATTCCTGATCATGGTTTGAATACACAGGCTTGGAAAAGAGACCTTTCCTTTACTCCTGGAGTGAGTGGCACTAAGCTATTTCAGTGACAGAGCTTTGGCTGCTTTCTCTAGGCTTCTAGTAAGTATGTAAATGATCAGCTGTCTTTTCTCTAAAGAACTAACTCTCACTATTTTGCTATCTGGAAGGTGAGAAGCCTGTCACCTTTAAATTTGAACTTGCTTTCTGACTTCTATTAGATATATTTATTATTTTATACTTGTTTTCTTATGTGTTCTTTGCAAACATGCTTTGTTTGCAAAAGGAAAACAGAAATAATAGAATATTTAAATACATATAACAGAAAAATGTAATTTTAACAAGGTCAGTAGATGAAAAATTAGAAAATAGGTAAAATGAGAATATGAAAGTTGAGATGAATCCAGAGCGACATTATTATACAGTATGCATCCTCTGAGGTCCTATACCAGAAGACCACAAATATGGTGGTGTTATTTTTAACTTTGTCTCACATTTGAATTTTCCAGTTATTCTAGTAACCAAGAAGAAAGTGAATAGCTTCTAGGAAATTCAGCAGTGCATTTAATAGGGTCCTATTTTGTGATTTGTGAAATTTTTCTGAGATTCCTGAACATTCACTGATGTTGGAACTCCTAAGACATGGTATAGGAGTTGAAGAGCAAAAATAGATGAGCTTTCAGCTAGTCTGGCTTCATCCAAGAATGAATAATAGGACTATGCAGAAAAATAAATGGCCTTAATCAGTTTACTCTTGTGCGTTTGTTTGTGTAATTTATTTAATTTATTTATTTAAACTGATTGAGCTTTTACTAGGTATTGAACAACAGTGAATTTGAAGTTTTCCTGCTAGAAAGCTTTAAAAGTGAGTGGAGCTTGCGGTTGAGTAGATTTCCTCTGAGGCAAGTTGAGTACACTAATTGGCATGCATGCCTCCATAGCAGATGATTCTACCTCCATCCAGATTTATCAAAGAAAATACCCTAGGGCAGAGCCAAGATCCTCTGAAGTAAAACCTCACAAGGACATTCTATCACAGGGAAAAAATAGTAATCAGGAACTTCAAAGTTTAGATCAGAGAGTGTGAAATAAAAACTTTTAGCCTGGAAAAAATGTAAAAGAAAATGCTAATAAAATCCTACAGTGGTGTGAAGTAAAATAAAGTAAAAATTGAAGAAATGTGTATAGGCCCCCCTCATATTGTTGACCTTGAGCAATATGATTTCTGGATCTTACCTGAAAAATAAACTGGTTGCATATTATCTGCCTAGATAACTGCATGTGTTAATTCATCATATAGCATAGCACTACACCAGCTTAATGTTGGGGTTTCTAATAATATTTTGACTTTAGAAAATTTAATCTGTAGTATTTCTTTTAGGAGAGATGATATGACAACCGCTTTTATGTTGAGGCAATTATTATATTATTTGTGCATAAAAACATACTGATTTTATTCTCTCTAATATGTTTGAAGTGTGCATACAATTCACTCAAAAGTAGCAGTAAGACATGCTATAATTAAAACCAGATCCAGAGCAAGTTATTTAAAAAAAAATTCTACTGGAAATTATTAACTAATCTTTTAAGAGAGTATTCCTGTTGTTCATTCTTTTTGAGTAAGGTTACAATGTAGGTACTTAATCAAAAATAACTACTATTTCTACCTCCAATTTTGTTTGTTTGTTTGTTTGATGGAGTCTGGCTCTGTCGCCCAGGCTAAAGTGCAATGGTGCGATCTCGGCTCACTGCAACCTCTACCTTCTGGGTTCAAGCAATTCTCTGCCTCGGCCTCCTGAGTAGCCGGTATTACAGGCAGCTGCCACCACGCCCAGCGTATTTTTTGTATTTTTAGTAGAGACAGGCTTTCACCATCTTGGCCAGGCTGGTCTTGAAATCCTGACCTCGTGATCCACCTGCCTTGGCCTCCCAAAGTGCTGGGATTACAGGCATGAGCCACCGCGCCTGGCCTCCCAGCGTTTTCTACGTCATATATCACAGCACATTAACTGATCCTTGTTTTCAAAATCAAAAGCTGAGAGAAGGTCAATGAAAGCCAGAAACAGACTCCAATTACCCTCATAGATTTCTTCTCAAGGTGATGAAGAAAAACCTGTAGCCATTGGAAATACATATGTCAGAACAAATCATCTTCTTCTCCACCATCTCCTCAACAACTTCCCCTACACCAAAGCAGAATTTGATGCACTTGCCTGAGACGTCCATGTTTTCAAATTTTCAAGGAAGGAACAGGCAAAAATTTTAGAATGCATGGAGTCAAAAATTGTTCTACAACTTTGAGAATATGAAATATACCACTTTAGAAAATGACATAGATTCCAAACTCCACATTAGAGACCTGGAGTCCATGTTTACTCACTGTCTCACTTTGTTGGACAGTTTATTCATTCTTTTCATGTCCTAGTTTCCTTACCCATAAAATGAACATAATAGTAGGACTGACTTCTAGGGTTTTTATGAGGCTTAAATATGTAATGTGCTTAGAATAGTATCTGACAAATTTTAAGCATTATATAAGTATTATTTTTAGTTATACATCTGAATCGTTATTTCTTTCAATTACCTTTATCTCTAGTTCTATACCTACAGAGTTGATAAAGTAAAAAAAATTGCCAAGCATAATATTGAGCTGTCATTGAATGGTACTGGAGATAGGGAGCCATCTGAACATATCCATCAGGAGCAATGAATGCCTTCTACAAATATGATCTTGTAAATTTGTATTTAATAAGGGAAATTCTGTCTTATTTTGCTTGAGATGAAATTTTAATCCGAATATTATTGGTTTATATAAGTATTACCCACTGAAGAAATATTATTTGGTAATTTGATACCTAAATTTCCTGTGCTCAATTCTTTGATGCCACCTTTCATTAACCAATGTTTCTCCCTTTTTAAATATATTTGATACATTCCAAATTTTTCACAAATATCTATTCCTTCTTAAAGAATTCATGTTGCAGAACTACAAATTCTATCCTACCTAACTGGTTAATGCTGATTTATGAGCATGATGCTTTTCTTATTTTTATTTTTTATTTTTAATTGTTGTGGGTACATAGTAGGTGTACATATTTATGAGGTATATGGGATATTTTGATACAGGCATACAACGTGTAATAATTACATCAGGGTAAATGGGATATCCATCACCTCAAGTATTTATCCCTGTTTTTTGTTTGTTTGTTTTGTAATGGGGTGTTGCTCTGTCACTGCAGCCTCGACTTTGGGAGCTCACGTGACCCTCTCAACCTCAGCTTCTCGAGTAGTTGGGACTAAAGGCATGTGCCACCATGCCTGGCTATTTTTCTTTTCTATTTTTTTTTTTTTTTTTTTGTAGAGATGGGGTCTTGTTATGTTACCAAGGCTGGTCTTGGGCTCAACCAGTCCTCCTGCCTTGGTTTCCCGAAGTCCAGGGATTACAGGTGTGAGACACTGCACCCAGCCAGCATTTATCCTTTATGTTACAAACAATCCATTTATACTCTTTTGGTTATTTTAAAATATACAATTAAATTATTATTGACTATAGTCAACCTATTGTGCTATCAAATACTAGATCTTATTCCTTCTATTTTTTAACCCATTAATTTCTATATGCAGAATGTAGTTGAGGCAGCTACTTCATAAATGAGTTTTTGTAGTTAGTGGCTTTTGGAAGGCTATTAGATGTACCTGAGAATAATTGTTTCCTACTAAGAACTCTTCATTCAACTAAAAATGCATTGTTTTTTAATTATCCTTGCCAACTGCTGTTCATTGATAAGCAGTTATTTCAAAAGCATTCTCTTATTTTTGGAGAGAAAATGACATGGACACTTGTTATAACTAAAAGTTCTAACCCAAAAGTCCTTGTTTTTAAGATTGACAGTCTAAAATTGATGAGGACTGTAGAAGAGTGAAATAAAACACAGTAATTTGTGACTAGTTTATTAATAACAACAAAAACATTTCTTTAATTATATGTAATTTTTAAATAAGAGTGGTAATTTACATTTCCTTCATTAATGCTATGGAAATGTCTCTAAAGAGCTAAAATAAATGCCTGTTGGCATTGTGTTTTGCAGCACTTTTTTCCTAATTCAGTAATATTGTTCATTAAAATAAAATGGTGTTCCTCATTGGAGTATTTGTAGTGAAGACGTTACGAATGTAACAAATTAAGATGTGCTAATTTCAGGTTTTGTGTCAAATTTAATGCCTTCTTTAATGTGTTAAGCCATAGCTTTACAATTGCAAACATTCAGCTAATAGCTTTTCTATCTAGAGAATTGCTTCAGAAATTCCTTCAGTAACCACTAATCTTTAACTACTGGGAAAAGATTTAGTTTAACCTAATTGTATGTAACATGAATATTGTAGGTTGATTCTTTATCACATCCTACTATATTTTGTTCTCACTTGAATTACTGACATACTGTCTTTCCTGAAATATGTACCTTCAGTAATTTTTTTTTTTCCTTAGGCATTAGCTATGGGAATGATGACAGAATACTATCATTATATCTTTACCACTCTGGTAAGTACTTCATTAAAACAAAATGTTCTGAATTTTATTATTATGACTTTTTCAGATGAAAAATAGGTTTTTTAGTAAGAAGTATTATGACTGATTCCTTTGTAGTTATATTTTAATTTGATAAGACTCCACCAAAATTATTATCAGAGAGGACAACTCTTAATAGAAGCTGATGATTTTGAAATAATATCATTTCAGATATCAATTCAAAATATTGCATATCTTATTTTTATGTTGCTTTAGAGAACTTTCAGAATATAATGGATCTTGAAATTAGTTTCCTGAGAAATCAGTGCTTTAGAAAAGCGCAAATTCAGCCGGGCACAGTGGCTCATTTCTGTAATCCCAGCACTTTGGTAGGCCGGGGCAGAAGGATCACCTGAGGTCAGGAATTCAAGAACAGCATGACCAATATGGTGAAACCCATCTCTACTAAAAATACAAAAATTAGCCGGGCATGGTGGTGGGTGCCTGTAGTCACAGCTACTCGGGAGCCTGAGACAGGAGAATTGCTTGGACCTGGGAGGCGGAGGTTGCAGTGAGCCAACAGTGCCACTGCACTCCAGCCTGGGCGACAGAGCTAGACTCCATCTAGAAAAAAAAAAAAAGAAAAGAATAAGACAAGAAAAGCACAAATTCTTATGTTATCTCAGCTGTATTCACTTTTTGAAAATCAGATGTATTGAAGCTGTCCTTTCAGTAGATTACATTTTCTATTCTGCTTTTGCCTGTATTTAGTTAGATTTTTTAAAAAGTCAATATACTTTAATTTGCCATCAGCAAATTGAATGTTACCTTTATATTTTGTTTTCACATACCCATCACACAATTTTCCCTTATAATGTATGAAAATCTGACTTTAACCTGTATCAAACTTACTGTTAGCTCCATTTTGTTATCAATACATTATCCTGACCTTTCTTTCTCTGTAAAACAGCTGTCTCTTTACTAATTCTTTCTTCCACATGTCCCAAATATGAGTATCTCCAAGTTTGGACTTCATCCAATCTTATTTTCTCTTCAATTATTTTCTTCAGAACTGGTTTGTATTTAGAGCCTCAGTTAACATCTTCGTTCGAATGAGGTCTAAATGTTCTATGTAATATTTATGAATTACTGTATACTGTAAAACACTTTTAATTGTTGTGCCATTAGATAATTTCGAAATATTTAAACTTTAGTGTCCTCTGAATTGACGTCTCTTCTGATTATCTTAAAAATTTCAACTTTTGTTGACTCCTGTATCACCAACAAAATTTTACTGATTTTTCCTTTGTAGTGTCTCTAGCATCTATCTTCTCCATTCCCATAACAACCAGTCTAACCAAAGTTTTCTTCATTAACTTGAAATTCTTCCAGTTAGTCTCCTTGCTTCTAGAAGTCTTGAAGCTGCCAGATCAGATTATTAAAATTTAATTGATTGCAATAGCTTCCTGTGATGACAACTCTTACCTCCAAAGGAGATTATTCATGCAGTAGGATGTATTTTACTTAAAAATAGCAAAGCTGGCTCTGGCATATCTCTATATTATTTCCTAGCAGACAACTTTTTGCAGCTTGTAAGAAACTTAGTGGTGGGGGTGGAGAGGAAGTGAGAGCATTCCCTCATCAGCAAATTATATTTCAGTGCTGTTACAACTCAGCATAAGCGTAAGATTTTGGGGAAATCAAAAGTATCTCTCAATAGGGAAAATAAATGAAACAACTAGTTTAGGATACATAGAACTCATAGGCCTACATTTGAAGGCCTTTTATACTTTGATCCTAATCGAACTTTCCCATTTCCTTTTGCTACTATTCTCCTTTAGGAATTCTCATTTATAGCTGAACTGATGTGGATCAGTCTCCTGAATAGGTTTTATATCTTCTAATTTTTGTGTCTCCACTCACACTTTGAATTCTCTTTTTGTCAATCATCAGCCCGGTCTTTCTTTAATGGCAGCTGTAGGGGAGAAAAGATTTCTTTTCCTCACACTTCATGAGGTTCAAGGCTGAGATCTCTATAACAAAAGAGAGGTTGACAAGAGAAACACCTAAAAATGTATTTAATATAAATTTTATGTGACACAAAAGCCATCAGAAATGAAGACTCAAAGAAATGGGAAAATCTGGATTTTTTTTTTTTTTTTGCTTTGGTTTGATAAAGAGTAGATAGTTATGTAGGAAAATTATTGGACAAAGGGAGGTTATGATCTAATGGCAATAAATCCAGAAAACTTAGCAAGGCCAAATTGTTGAGATTCTTCTTGACCTCCAGGTATAGGGCTGGATCCCTCTGGAATGAGAGTCTTATGACCTCCTTTCTGTGGGGGTAGGTCAGAGAATTCTTTTATGGTCCACTTCAGGGGAGAAAGGTGGGATAAGGTCACAGAGTGACCTTCCTGCTTCTGTGTCTTCTCAATTTCCTATAGCCAAGTACCATATTTGGGGGTAGCATGTTCTGAGCCTCATCACAGCTAAGATCCCATCTGCTCTGTGAAGTTTTTCTTGACCATACAAATTGAAAATAACTTGTCTTGCTTCTGACTTCTTTTGCATTTATGATTTCTACTCTTTTACCACTTGGCATATATTGCCATCCTTTATTTATTCACCTCTTTCCTATCTCCTTGGCTAGATTGTAAACATTAAAAAATAAAAACCTAAAGATTCCTATGTTTTTCATAGCACAGACTAGAGCTCAGGCCAATGCCAGCTGCTTTCCACTGAATTGTATTCTTATTATCTAGCCTGTGTAGCTGTATGAGTCTGAGGCAAGCTGTTCACAGAACCAATGGCATTAATCTTGCCTTGATTCTCAATATTGTCCATAAGTTCGAGGGTTAGCTATGCCAACTAGAAAGAGGGCAAAACTCCACATGCTGGATGTTTTCATGGTGGCATCCATTTCCATGATAGCTTTGGCCTCATATCTCCTGGGACAACTAAAGGGCAGAGCAAGAAAGTTCACTATATACAGACTAGAAAGGGCAACAGGCATAAAGTGTTTATTGGAAACTTATAGTGAAGTTCCTAGGTGTGAGACATGAGATGAAGGAACTGTATTGTTTCTGCAACCAAAAAGGCTAGTCTTGGCCTTAGCATTTTTTTCACACCTTTCATACAGTTTTCATTAGTTAGAAGCTGTATTTTGTGACTTGCTTTCTAAAAACAACAATCAAACAAAGAAACACTGACAAAAAAAAAATTAAAAACAGCAATAACCAGGCGAGGAAGCAGGACACAGAAAAAATTAAAGCAAAATATTAACACATAAAATAAGGGCAAGCTATCCTAAACAGAGAGAAGAAAGCTATTGCAAATCTTAGATGTGAGTTGTAGAAGAGCCCATTGTTTCACTGGCGGATTTAGAATAAAATATATACATAGATTTTTACATACGGAGCATGTATCTCTGCAATGCCAAAGCATGAGGACAGTCTATTTGAATCTTGGTGATTTGTGATGTTTAACGTCACTTGACACAAAGGTGTTAAGTGACCTAAAAAAAACAAAAAAAGTGACTATTTCAGTAATACATGCCTGTGAAGATACTCTGTCCATAATAACAACACAATAACATTTGTCTTTCAGGACCTCTTTGCTCTTGATGTTGAGCCCTACCGATACAGTGGTGTTAACATGACAGGGTTCAGAATATTAAATACAGAAAATACCCAAGTCTCCTCCATCATTGAAAAGTGGTCGATGGAACGATTGCAGGCACCTCCGAAACCCGATTCAGGTTTGCTGGATGGATTTATGACGGTATGAATACCCACTTAAAGATCAGTTTGTGTGTTTCTAAATAGTATTGCATACATATGAACTTCTGGGTTTATATGCATACATATAAACTTCAGTTTAATTGTTTGACATTAAAAGCAAAATATCAGAGCTACAATGCAAATACTTGTATTAACAATTTTTTTAAATCAATTTTATATGAAAAGCTTATGCTTCCATCCAAGTATCTCAAAAGGCATTACAACTATCACCAGGGTACTACAACATAGGAATTTCTGTAAAGTTAATTAGTGCCCTACATGGGAGAAATGAGAGACTGAAAGAAGACATACATCTGGTAGTTATCCTTCTGATCTTACCTATCAATATACGAATACTCTTCAACATGATGATTTCTGGTATCTGGTGTTATATAAATGACTTATGTCACACAAAACACACAAAATTCTCGCATGAGCTTACTCACTCTTTAAGGCTGAAGACTAATCAATAATCACATTTGTCATTTTCAAGTCCCAGTTTAAACCCAGAAGCGGCACTATTGCATAAACTATGAAAGAAGGGTATATTCTTATATAACTTAGTTGTTTATGCCAAACAACTTTAGTTGTTTATACCAATGCTTACAATAAAAATCTAATGGCAAGGCATACATAATTTTAAGTTTTCTTATACTGTGTCCTCCAAAAGATAGGTAAAAATCAGTGTTTGTTTAAGCTACTATGTAAAAATATTATTTTTAAATAAGTAATCAATATAAAAATTATGACTTCAGACATTTTATATTTTTTATACTAAATCCTTGAAAGATGGTATGTATTTGACATCATGCATATTAATTCAGAGTAGTCACATTTCAGTCATATTTACTCTGTAGTAGCCAAATGTGGCTAGTGTCTACCTTGTCAGACTTGGTAGGTATGTGTCATGTTATTTTTGAAAATTATAAATGCCTGATGTTTTCTTATTAAATCATTTTTCTACAGACTAAAGTATCACTATAATTAAGGAAATAGCTTAGCAGTGGGGTGATATTTACATTTCATAGGAAATTACCATCTGCTTTTAATGAGTATTAGTCTAAATGGAGAATTTATAAACAAAAACATCCTCTATCCTTACATGTATGTAGAAAAGCTTTTTCTATTATGCTTGTAATTTTTCCATTAATTACTTCAATAGCTTCAAAGCTTGTTTTTGATACTGTAGGGATAAAAGGAAAATTTGATTTTTTTATCCTTAGAAGGTTTTGTAATACAAATTGAGTGCCTTCATAGAGACTATGAAGAAGAAATGGTTAGCCTAAAGGCATCAACTTTCTGATGGAACAAAAAATACATTTGTTTTCAGTTTGTGAGAAAAATCACCTACTAGAATTTCAAAATATATCCGTATGAATTTGTTTTAAAAGAAACACTATAGGGAAATTGTACTTCGTTGCATAAAGAGATAGTTGAACAGTTCTAGTAGTTTAGTTTTAACTTATGTTTGAGAATTTTTATTGAGAGGAAAATACCTAAATAACTTAAAAATTAAAATATTTTCCTTCAAAGTGGAGCCAGATTTAAAATAAAATGCAAACTAGAAAAAATTATAAATGTTATATTTTATTACCAGTTTAAAGATGGTGAATCAAACTTTTGAAACTTAAGACAATGTGATTTTTTAATATTATAATGTATGCTATCCTTTAAATTGTTGTTATGATCATGTGAATATTTTTATATAATATATAAAAATATTTATTATATAAAAATATATATTATATAAAAATATTTAAATATTATATAAAAATATTTATATATTATAATAGCTTTCTTTACAATTCTTTGATTTCAGGATGAATGTCTTATTATTTATTTTCAATAGCACTATTAAATGGTTTTAAGAAAAGTAAATCAGTAGATATCAGCACAATTTTACACTTTTATATATTTACTTCCACAGATAAATAAGTCCAATGACTAATGTGCCCCTTCATGTATCAGAATCATAAAAATTATTCAATTTTACTTTGGTACACTCTGTATAGCTATGTGAGTCCCTCTGTGACTTTACACATCATCTCCCGAAATGAAGTAATCCCTAATTTGTGGCAACTTATGTAAACTATTGAAAGACAGATAAGTACAAAGAATGATGTATTAATTTCCAAGGTAGAAGCTCTTGGAGAGAATTAACCTCTACAATATGGAAAAAGAGAGAGGATATTAGGAGAATTACAAATTTGCATTCTCTCTTTCTAGCACGAGTCTATTCCTCTTCTGCTTTTCCCTGTTGAACTGGCAGATGATTTCTTGGAAGGGGAAAAATGTTAAAATGAAAATGGACTGATGAAAAAATGTGTCTATTAAAAATCCTGGGCATTATATATAAACCATGGATTCTGAGTTATTTAGAAGAATTTTCCATGCAATTCTCTTTCCTTTGGTATAGTTCTTAAATATAAAGTAGATATGAAGTTTGTCATTAAAATAAAGGTTTCTTTCAAAATAGATGCAGATTGATTTTGTTTTTACAATTTCCCTTTTGGAAAATTAATATATTTTAAAATCCTTTCATCATATAACATTGTACCAAAATTTTAAAAAAATACATAAAATATTTTCATTATGTAACATTAATTCTTAATTATAAAATAGCATATGGTTATTAAAATAAAACCAATTGAGTTCTGTATTAAAATGTGGGCATATTTATGTCTTACATAAGTATTCTTTTTCTTTTCAATTTAAAATTGTAAGCATTTTCACAAGTCATTAAATGTTTAGGAAAAGAAATTAATAAGCTGTTTCCACCATGAATATAGTCAGCAAATTAAGAGGATTCTAGTTAGAAAAAAGAGAAAAAAGAATTATAGCCTGGCATTGTGGCATTGGCAACATTCCCTTCAGTCAATTCATGAGATCTCAGTGTTTATGTATCTCTTTTTCTTTTTATCCCCTATAGTCCCATAAAGAAATGGGATTATCAGCAAAGTTTCTAGTGCTTGGAGCAAGACCTATTATTATCAGTATCATAATCATTTGCCATTGTGTAAGATCATAGTGCTCAGACTTTGACATCCTTTCTTCATGTTTGAGCTATAAAAGGAAACAGTAAATTGGATTCATAAGAGTTTTTCTAGTTGAGTTAGGATTTTAATTGGCCTTTGAGATGACTGTTTATCAGTTAAATGACTACTGAATACAAAACCACTTCGCTTGCCATTGTAGTTTCTTTCTCTGCAGTCTAGGGTCATCATATTAAAGATGTTAATGTTAGTAACTCAGTAAAATTTTTAGTTTCACTTGGTATAAACCCAACCAAGGAACCAACTCACACAGTACTTCCAAGCCTGATCTAGTTAAGGAGGAAGAAATAAAGCTCAACACTCTTCTTTTACACATGAGGGTTTTCTTTTAACATATGATATCCCACTTTTCTCCATTCCCACACAATGCCATCCAGTTAGTGCTCTGAACTTCCCAGACATAAACCCCTTATTGTAAAACTCTTTCCATACTCTGCATTCTGTATTGTGTTCCCATCTTTTCATGCTCCTAGAGGTGTGCAAATACCTTTCAATGAGCGTTACTACTGTTCTTTATTGCAAAATCAGATAACATCTTCCCCAGTCCTCTGACCAGACATTGTCTGCCTTTATGTAGCACATTTACTATAGGATGAGAATTCACTTTTGAACCAGTGCCAATCAGAGCCCGACAATGGTGATACTTGTTATTGATTTATTGAGTTTACAGCAATTTCAGGTAAAGACAAACACCTCAGAGTACATTTTAAACAGTCTAGCTATATCCCAGAAATCCTTCCCAGTGGTTCTAATATACATATGCATATTAATACCAATGTACCTGTAATCCATTCAGTAGCTTAATTTAATTATCAGTATTTTTTTTCTTGTGCTGATAGATAATACCACATATTTCCTTGATAATATAAATGTATTACACAAATCAATAATAATCATATTGATAGACTATATCATTTGGGTTTCTATAGGGATATTACTGTTTTAGAAGTTTAAACCCTGGACACCAACCGCTATCTCCATTTCCTTTCACCTCAAAAATCATTAAGCACTGTCAATTTTACTGTATCAATATTTTTCTTAACTACATTCATCTTTTCAACCCAGAACTTTATCTTAGTTATGATCATTCCCTGGCTTTCCTAATAATCCCCTCACTGAAGTCCTACTCCTAACATCTCTCTCCTACATTCACCTTCTTTCTAGTATGATTTTTTTCAGAACTTTGCTCATGGCTCCTCATCATTTACTAGGTGTAACTTGAGCTCATTTGCCAAGCCTAAAAAGCCTTCTATGGTCTGGCTCTTTCCAATTTGTCCAGCCTCATATTTGCTTGCTCCCTGTTCCACCAAGCCACCCTCTCATCTCACCTTTGATGTGTTGTCACTCATCATGTATCACCTATTCCAGCATAGGATACTTCATTATTTAAACCACTTACCTTTTTTTGAATGTTTGGCATATTCCTACTCATACTCTAATTTTCAGGTTTTCTGTTACCTTTTAGATTGAATGTGCTGAGTCCTCCAGATATTTTATATGTGTGGTCCTTTATTTATGCACTTTATGTATAACTCCATGTTGAAAGTTAACTCTAGTGCTTTAGTTTCTTTTTACATCACTTTTTCAATAGACTGTTAGCTCTTTTGAAGCAAGAAGTAGATATTGTAATCTTTGAAGTCCCTATACCTAGTTTAATGCCTGGTGTAAAACAGGAGCTCATAATGAGAGAGTGACTGCCTGATTGAATAAATGCATTTGTTAATTTATTTTAATCATATTACATCTGTGTTCTAATCATTAGTTCCTCTAATTTCCCCAAATATATGTTGGAGAGCATTTTATTTGCCCTCTTGTACTTTATTATCAATATATCTAATCATTTAGAAGATGTAATTAGGCTAGTCTCAATGACAGAAGCTTAGAAATACTTTTTTTTCTTTTTTTTTTTTTTGAGACAGAGTCTCGCTCTGCCACCCAGGCTGGAGTGCAATGACAGTCTCTGCTCACTGCAACCTCTGCCTCCCCAGATTGCAGAGATTCTTGCGCCTCAGCCTCCGAGTAGCTGGGATTACAGGCGCACACCACCACGCCTGGCTAATTTTTGTATTTTTGCTAAAGATGGGTTTTCACCATGTTGGCCAGGCTGGTCTCCAACTCCTGACCTCAAGTGATCCACCCACCTTGGCCTCCCAAAGTGCTGGGATTATTTATAGGTATGAGCCACTGCGCTCGGCCATTAGAAATACTTTTGATTAAATAGTGAAAGTATAGTAAGTTAGAAGAGTAGTTCCCATTCTTTTTACAAAGGAAGAGATAATGTTTATGAGAGGTGAGTCTTTATGTGTTTTAATTCTAAAGCCCTAACAGTTATTTCTTTATAATAACAGACCACAGACCCCAGACTTTATAATTTCCTTTTTTATTTGAGTATCTTAAAATAAAAATGAGCATCTTGTATATACATCTTACAGCAGGAATTTAGCTCATCCACTAAGGTGACACAAGTAATCATTTGTTACTGTATAAAGATTTACTTGTATAGCTGGGTGTGGTGGGGCAGGCCTGTAGTCAGCTATGTGGGAGGCTGAGGTGGGAGGATCACTTGAGCCTGGGAAGTTGAGGCTGCAGTGAACAGTGTTCACCCAGCTAAACTCCAACGTAACACCCCGTCTCAAAAAAAAAAAAAAAAAAAAAAAAAAAAGCAATGGAAATAGAACCATAGAGAAATAAAGTATGAACAGAACAGACAGGCTTTTTCATTTACTGCTAGAACAACTGCAAGCCCACCTTTGCTGCTATTTGCTTGTCTTAATTAATTTTAGCTGTTTTTCTTTAATTCATTTGAAATGAATATAAATATAAGGTTTTGGCAAGTAATGGATCAAACCAACTCAACATTTTTTAAATTGGTGAAGCATTTTGAAAAAGTTGGCTTCATCTTATATTGCACTAAATCACCAAAATAAAAGAATAAAGAGTAGCAACATAATGAATTGATGAATTAACTTTTTAAAAATCAATTTTAATACTGTGTATTGTATGCAGCACACAGGATTTGATACCAGGCACTCAGGATTTGGTAATCAAGACAATACCTCTATTTCATCAAATAACTAAGGGAATTGATAAAATCAGAAGATAGTAACTGTTTTTCTGATCACTTCACAATCTTTGTTGATATAACAATTATGTTCAAAATGTGATGTTGATTGCTTCTTAATTTTGTATTTTTGGATCTTCTTTCCTGTCTTCCTGAAAATTCTTGTTAAAATTTCCTGTTTTCCGTAATCATTTATGATAGCAAGAGACACACATATATTTACCAAGAATTTAACATAACTTCTTAGTATTTTGTCGAAAAATGTGTAACATTTCACAAAATTTATTAACATAAATGTTATAACTACTAGCCTTATTCTTGTTGTTACCACAGAAAAAACATTTTGGGGTCCATAATATAATAAAATATGGCAGAAATACTTGTATATTTCAGAGTATGTAATGAAGTCATAAGTACAACATTTGTTACATTTATATATGCTTGATTTAATGAATGGTAAAAGGACATGGAGCATGGAATGTGAATAACAGAATGGCACTATATTTCTTTATTTTATGTACATATTAATCTTCTAAGATGCACTAAGCTACAAGTTAAATCTAAATACAAATAATTGAGATGACCTAAAAACCTCCATTGTTTTATTAACATAGAACATTTCGTCTAATTGCCTTTTCTCATCCACAGATTAAATAAGCAGCATTTAAGCATCTAAAATTGATGGATATGGAATTTCTATTTTAAGTAATTGTTTTTTACATGAAAAATGGCAGTTGCAGTGAAGCATTATCTTTATGGTCATATTATTTTTATAGGTCAATTTTCAAACTTTTCACTTGGGAAAAGTAAGGGTAAATCAAGAGAGATTTTTTCCCCTTCACCCTGAAGAGCAAAATTTATCTTCAAAGCATTGATATAATATTATGTGACACCAACTTATAAAGGATAAATACATTTCTGCACACAATTTTCTTCAGTCTCTTATTTTATATTTAAAAATGTAGGGGAGAAAAAAAAAAAACTTTACCTGTCTTAGGTTTGTTCATTGTCTGGGACCTCTGACAGAAGACAGACTAACATGAAAAAATAACTGAAGTTCATTGTTGTATGCAGCACCTACTCACACTGAAGAACTCAGATGGGAATAGCTCAAGGGGTGGTTAGAACGTGGACTTATTAGCCTCTTAACAAAGAAAGATATCTTTTTAGAAAAGTGCCAATACAAAGGAAAAGTGATTTAGGCTTTTAGGGGTGGCAAATTGTGAGCAGATAGATATATACATATAACATTATATAAAAATAAAAAATTATATATATCTAATATGGCACTTGTAGGATCATATGCATATATATGTGACTATATCATATATATGTATATGATCATGTACAGATATCATGTGATATGATTATATCATATGTATATGTATATGATCCAACAAGTGGCATATTTTGGGGTGGCATATCCTGAACTCCTTCAACAGCTATATGGTTTTACGTGGATATGACGAATCACCAATGATATGAGGAAGTCTAGCTAGACAGAAATTTGTGACGTTCAGGAAGGAGGGCCCCTCAAGGACAGTCAATGTCAAGGACACCCAGAAGAGGTGATGCCCAATGCCCTGACAAGAGCATGAAGTCCAACTTTGCAGAGTCTGAGAACTGACAACATTCTGAGATTTAAGACTCCACATCTGCATCTGGACTGTGGCATCAAGGTAGAATTAATAAAAGCAATGAATGTGACCTTGAAAAACAAAAATGCCAAGCTGGTTATTGAGGTAACAAGGCATTGAACTTGAGAAAGCAAGTACAGGGCACAAAGTAAAGGAAATACAACATGGTCAAGAAAATAGAGAATGGATTATTTCACTGGGGTCGGCACTCAGATTCTAACCTGAGAATGAAGTTAACAGCAAGTTTGACATAATGTTCAATGCTGTAAGTTAAAGGAGTGGATTGGGAAACAGTGGGATATAAATCTGGGATAATGTTTTTTCACGCTAATTAATTAAAAGATAATTATAAATATTCTACATTTAACATAGAAAATCAAAATAATTAAAAAGCATCAAATACTGGTTGAAATTATTAAAGAAGAGAGAGTAAGAGATGGAATTGAGGCCTACAAATAAGAAATCTTATTATTCAAATATTCATAATATCCTACAGCAAAGTTCTGGCTAAGGAAGTTTATTACTGTAACTATAGTGCACTCTCATCATAGAAGGAAGAGTGGATCTATTTTTAAAATGTATAGAATATGTTTTCTGGCTACTAGTTTGCATTCAGGGTAAAAATACACCAAACTAAACTATATGTTGTATTTGGGATGAACTAAGATGGAGTAGACTGGTGGTAATTATCAAAGCTATAGGTTTTCCCATATTATTTCAGTTTTATGAATAATCTTTGGAATTTGTTTTTGGCTCCTCCCCCCAAAAATTTAAAACCAATGCCATATAAAAAAATACCTTGGCCTCATCCCAGTCTTTAAAATTTGCATTTAGTTGAATACTTACATTTATATATGATTTTATATAAATATAAATAATATAAAATAAGAGGGAAATATATAAAAATATATAATTCTTATTTATATCTAAATTCATATTATCATATTATCTTAGGTAATATCTTAATACGTTTGTGCTGCTCTGACAGAATACCTAAGACTAGATAATTAATAAAAAACAGAAATTTATCTCACAATTCTGGTGGCCAAAAAGCCCAGATCAAGGTATTGGCAGGATTGGTGTCTGGTGAAAGCAACTGTCTGCTTCCAAGACGGCACCCTCTTATATTCTCCAGAGGGGAGGAACACTGTGTCCTCACATGGTGGGAGAAACCAAAGGGCAAGAGAGTGGTCCTTTCAGCCTGGAGCTCTTTTATAATGTTGCTAATCTCTTTCATGAGTGCTTAATGCAGTGATGATGACTTAATCATCTCTCAAAAGCCACACCTTTTAATTCTGTTTTATTGGGGATTAAGTTTCAACATGAATTTTGGAAGGGGGCACTGTCAAACCATAGCACGCACTTTTGTGAATAGTAAGCAATATTCATATTTATCTATTTAATCATATTCATACCTATATTTATCTATGTACTAAACTATACTATTTATACATATCTATATCTATTTACTAGAAAGACAGTGTCACTGGTCACAGTATTAATAGGATAAGCATTTATAATACATGGACTTGGTACACTCAGTATATGCAAATGCTCTTTGACTTATGACAGGATTGCATGTTTATAAACCCATCATAAGTTGAAAATATCATAAGTCAGAAATGCACTTAATACACCTAACCTACCTAACATGATAGCTTAGCCTCACCTACCTTAAACATGTTCAGAATACTTACATTAAGTAAGTATTACTTACCTACATTTGGACAAAATCATTTAACACAAAGCCTATTTTAAAACAAATTGTTGAATCTCTAATGGAATTTATTGAATGCTGTACTGAAAGTGAAACACAGAATTGTTGTATGGGTACTTGAAGTACAATTTCTACTTTTTGCATATGGCTTTTGCAACATCATAAAATAAAAAAAATCACAAGCTGCACCATCGTTAAGTAGGGGATCAATTGTGTGTATCAGATTTTGGTATATTTTTGTTATTAAATATTAGCTATAAACTATTAAAATATTAAAAAACAAATGACACACGTAACTGTAGATTGCATCAATTTTAGAATCAATATGTCTGTAAGAAATTTAACAATTTTCCCTGCTGTGATTTATAATGAACACATTGCAGCTTTTTTTAGTCATGTTCAATTTTAGAGGAATTTTATTTAAAAATAGAGATTCTAAAAACTATCATAAATATAGAACTTGGCATATAATAAAATTTATATTATATATAATGCACAATAATCCTACCTCTGATGTTTTAATATAAATATATACCTCAGTAGATATTTCCATTTCTTTTGTTTTAAATTACCTACCTCTGGATCCCACCAGTGTAGAATTTCTCCTGCCTAATTGATCCAAAAAAGTACTCAACTCTGTTATTAGAAATAAGAGTATATGCATATATAAAGAATATGAATTTTAAGGATGTTAGGATGTATACAGTGGCCCTAGGAATAGTGACCCAAACAATGACTTTATACAAATTCTGAGTCTAGCTACCAGCGAATGTTACTATTTGTATTTGACATCTAATATAAATAACCTAAATTGTGAATTGTATTTAATGCTTACTGCATTTTACTGCTGTTTCTGCCTTATTAACTCAAGACATCATGGGGCAGTTATCATCTTCATTTTATAGATTCAGAAACATAGAATAGGCAGGTTATATATAGAAAGAAAGATCCCTAAACTATTGTCAGAAGCAAATATAAAAGAATCCTTAAGCATCTAAAGGAAAAAGTTGAGCATGATGAATTAGAAACCAGGAAAAAAAAATTACTTTAGATGTGCAGCCAGATTTTTTGCTTCATTTTTAACCTTATAGAATTTCACACCAGTTTTGGGTAAGGTGGTAGCTAGTTGGTCTACTAAACCCTGTTATTTCTTTCCTTACAGACTAAACTCATACATAGAGGTCACAAGCCATATCTGAATCTCATTCCCAAACCTCTCTAATGCTATTACTTTAGGCAAGTTACCTAATCTCTTTGAGCCTCACTCGTCAAATAGAAATAATAAATTTTAGTGGGTTGTCATAAGGATCAAAAGGGATAATGAATTCACATATAAGATGATGAAAACCTACCTGGCTTTTTATAATTATGAGTTATATTATTGCCTCCTCTTAAAGGCCCTGTGACTTATAACATAGAATTTGACAGAGTGCTTGTGGTTTAATTAACTGATTCATTATTTCAGCATTAATTATCATCTGTTGTATGCAAAATCACTGTAGTAGATACTTAGGGTGTACGTGTGTGTGTGTGTGTGTGTGTGTGTGTGTGTGTGTGTGTGTTGGATACAATCATAAGAAGCTTTCATACAGAATCTGCTTAAAACTTGAATCCAGTAGTCTTCTTTTTAAAATGAGCCCAATTACAATGATTTAAAATGTGCTATTACAATAACATATCCCTATTTAACAGATATTTAAGTCTAGGTAGAAGTTTATGAAAATGATATGTATCATTTTTTCTCAATGTCAGATCATTTCGTTTTTAAGTTAAAAAGATGGCTTGTTGGACACAGAATTAAAGGATGGATTTTTGGTTAGGTTTTTCATGCCTGTAGTAGAAGACTATTAAATATATTCTATTTCCATCTGAGAGCAAGAGTTTTGTAATCTAAATCACCTAACTCTTGAAAACAGTCTGCTTATTCCTTCCTTTGTAAACTTCTGCTAACAGTTTAATATTTCTGAGCCTCAGTTGCCTTAGCTATTCGATGAAACCAGCCTACATCACAGTGTCACTCTAAAGATTGAATACATAACTCTGGCACCACTTGAAGACAGTGTCTGGCCAGTAGTTGATCCTCCATAAGTGATATCCATTTGTTTCAAGATAAATGCCCTTTCTTCACTTTAGTGCAGATGCTACTATGTTCTGAGTACAGTTCATCATTCTCAAAGGATCTTTTGATCCCTGTTTATACAAAAGCGACAACTGAATAAGAATGCAACTGTGTAAATATTTACTTACTTTTAAATTTAAGAGTAGGTAGTTGCTTATTTTAATGCTCTGGGTGAGATTAACTAAATGAATGAACATGACATAGCTAGTTTAATATCAAATTGTTGATGCTTTTTTTTCATGACACTATCTGAGTAATTATATTTACATTAGAAAGGCAAATTTTAAAAAATGTAGCCTATGCAGTTTTGTGATATAAAGGCCTAAGAAATGGTCAAGAATCTACTCTGATGCACTAATTTCCAAGATATGCTTGGCCAATACTTTTTAAATCCACATTAATAAATCAGAAGAATGTTTCAGACAAAAATGAAATGAAGAGTTTTAGGGTGAATTTGCCTAACGGATATTAGGAATTCTCCTGCTTTATTATGCAGAGGAAATATTATGTTGATCTTTCATTTGCCTTTCTAAAAGAACTCATACATATTTTATTCATTAATCTTCAGAATGCCCTGTGACCAAATTGAACCAGAAGGGGAAAGTGAAGTTAGTAAACAGACACAGATGTTGAAATGGTACCAAATCGATCCTTCATAAAAAACCTCCTATGTATTGCTATTCATTCATTCATTCTCCAAATATTTACTGAACATCTACTCTATGCAATGTATGGTATTATATCATGTGAAGGATAAGAAAAATATAAATAAATAGATAGATTACATGATGTTTGCACTTGAAGAATTATCAGTTTAATAAGACAAGTGAAACGTAGCCTTAAATCATTGGAAAAAATATGCTGGCATGCAGTGAGAAATGTATATAGAAAACAGTGCATTTAGATGAGCATTTATCTACTTTTTGTTTAGGATATAACTATAACTTTACATAAAGACACAACTTGAGAATGTTATGTGCCCAATTAACATGAAGAATGGTTCACTCCCTTTGTAGTTACCTCACTGGACTTGGATAAAATTCTACATTCCTGTGATAAGTCAAAGAAACTCAGAAACTTGATCAGGTTGAGCAGACTGGTTGATGGAACCACAGGTTTCATTGTAAGATGCTCAGCACATATGTACTCTATTCAAGCTAGAGAATTTCATAGCTGCTGCCAGGTTTGAAGTACTCCAGAAAGTGCTACCACAGTGCTAGAGTTACTGCCAGACCTGGGGTCCTGGTATTTCTGCTGAAAATATGGCAGTCAAATGGTTATCTCTGTTTATCCTTTCTTCCATTGCCTTGAGTGTTGAAGGCCATTTTTGCCAATTGTCTCCTCACATCCTGTCTGGTCACTCATCACTAGTACTAGAGCTCAAATTTACTCTCAAATTGACCTGGACTCCCACTATTCCAGCTGTTTAGTTATCTGGTTCTTTATGCAACAAAAGGCACCTCTGAGTCTGCCCATAGTGGCTGAGTTAGGACCCCCATATCAGTCAAAAGCTATTTCCAGATCCAGCTCTTCTCTGAGACTATCAGGCCTTGTCTACACTGTACTTACTTTCAGCTGAGAATGTGTTCTCTCACCTAACTCCACTTGAGCATCCTCAGTCCCTCAAAGGTACCCTGGATTGTGGTCTTGATTGTTTTTCTCCTAGGAGTTTCTTTGATTCTTTGTAAATTTTTCCACTTTCTTTCTAGCAACTTTCAAGCCCTGGGTACTACTAAGGAGTGAAGGACAGAGCAGTGTCTATAAATCCATGTATATAGTTGCAATTTAAGAAACAGAGGAGAGAGTAGTCTCAGTAAAGCCAAATATACATGGCTACCAGAGAGAAGGTGCAAAGTTGACTTTAATCTATTTAAAAGAAAAAAGTCACTAAATGAATCCATTCACAATATGAAAACCTACACCAAAGCCGGGCTTGGTGGCTCCTGCCTGTAATCCCAGCACTTTGGGAGGCCAAGGTGAGAGGACTGCTTGATCTCAGGAGTTCACGACCAGCATAGACAACATACTGAGACTCCGTTTCTACAAACAAAATGGAAAAAATTAGCCTGGCATAGTTTCACACGCATGTAGTCCCAGCTCTTTGGCAGTCTGAGGTGGGAAGATCACTTGATCCTGAGAGGTCGAAGCTGCAGTGAGCCGTGATCATGCAACTGCACTCCAGCCTCAGTGACAGAGAGAGACTCTGTCTCACAAAACAAACAAACAAACAAAAATCCCTATACAAAGAGAATTTGATATTTCTATCTTTTCACATAGAACTAAATTAATAATAATAATAATAATTGTTATTGTTATTATTTTAGCATCACTAAGTACAGGACACCCCTGCTATAAACGTTATAAAAATTTGACAGTTTGATGTTATTGGAAAAGGAATTTGGGGGAAGATAGGGCTCAAACTGAATCTCAAGTATAAATATAAACATAAAATAGCATTTTGATAAAAATAGATGAGAGTAGGAAGGCCATTTAGGAAGAAGATAATGGAAAGCCATTAAAGATGTTAGAACAGGAGAGTGCAATAAAAGTAATATCATTTACCATGCCTTGCTAAATATCATGCAATTTGTGGTGATTATATAAAGATATGTTTGCCTTACACTAACTCTAAGTCTCACAAAAATGCTGTAGGATGAGCATTATTTCTCACTTACAGATGATGGGACTGAGGTGCCAATATATTTAGCATGTTGCTCAAGGACATTTGATTAGTAAGGTTAAGGCTGAGCGTTTAAGATCAGTCCCTTCTAACTTGATAACTTGTGCTTTTCCTGCCCTATCCTGCTTCCAGGAAGGCATATCTGGTGGCTCTGTGTGAATGCATAAGACACACTCCAGCAGGTAGCAGGCTTCCTGCAATTCAAGCCTGAGTTAATAAGGACTGGTATAGAGCCCAGGGGGCTCAAAGGAATGATTGAATGGGAAGATCTTTTTGAGATAGGGAAGGATAGTACGGAGACAAAAGAGGCCTTAGAGCTTTGCAGCTTAGGTGACTAGGAAGACTCTAGTGCTTTTCACCGAAGTGGGGCTATTGCAAAAGCAGGGAGCTTGAAAAGGAGATGGTATTGATTGCAAACAGGAAAATTTGAGATGATGGTAATACCTTAAAGGAAGAGAGGTCCAACAAAAAGCTGGAAGCTGAAAAATTGTTTCTCATTTCTATAATGACTCAGTTTTCTGTTTGTTTCAGAAATGGAGAAAAAAATTTCAGACTTTTGGGAGCATATGTTTACAATCCTTCAGAGAAAAAGACTTAGTCAACCTATTTGGCCACCTAGACTAAGTGACTCCAGAAGCTGAGAGAATTTAAGTAGTGTTGAATGTCAAAGAATTACTGCATACTTTAGTGCCCTTGTTTCTCAGTAGTCATGCCGGAACAGCCTGTGCCTTCGTAGTACCTGTGTCAGGGGTCTTACGAATAATGCCTTGGGAGAAGAGATGTTAATTTGAATTCTGGTTCCGGCTTTCAAGCAAAATATTACTCTTGCTAATGTTGTCTATCAAATAAACTTCTCAGATTTCATTCGCAGCCTTCAAATATTTATTCCTATTTCCAATTTTTTTACTAAATCAAAAGGAAAAGGGAAGTGAATAAGTGATAAATTAAAGACTGTGAGATGTCTTTAAAATATGAACTTCTCTAGCCCCTAAGGCAGGTGCACATGAATTTAACTGACAAAAATTATGCACAGTTTTCTTGATTTGAAAGTCTCACTTAAGTGTTATTTTAACTAAAATTTGAAACAATCAAAATCTCAAGGTAAATATAGATATTACTCACTTTTAAAACATCATAATTTGAACATTTACTATTACATAGATATTATGTACTGTAGCAAATTTGTAAGCTATAAAAATATGTGGAAGACAATTACAATTTTCCATTTATTAACATACCAAGCAAAGAAAATGACAATTATCATTTTAAGGACCAGTAGAAGTTCTCTTAACCCACCTTCCCCTAACCGATTTGTAAGAGTAACCAAAGCTCTGTATCCACTGGTTAAAATATACTGATTGACATCCACAGAAGTGAGAAAACTCACCATCAGGAGGCTACTATCATGTTTCTGTATTTTGACTCCGTGGTTTGGTATTCTTATTTTTCTATAACCAGTTTATTCTTGTTGTACCTACTAATTCATAATTCAATTAAACATTACATAAAACAGTTAAATAAAAGTGCAAGCATAACATTGTTTCTATGAAAACTCAAATGACTGCATGAAAAAAATTGATAAAGGTACTTTGCAAGTATCTCTTTATTCTTGTTTCACTTAAAAGAAACAAGTTGAAAATCATGGATAATCCATTATGTTTGGAGCTTATGCAAAACAGAAGAGGAAATTCAATCAGCAGACCCATGAAAAAGGTCTTGGCTCTACATTAATACATTTAGGAATACATTTACAGTTAGATGTTGTACATTAACATAGAAATTTTGAAGTATATATGCCTTAACTGTTTAACTGGCCAAATGTTAGCTTTGATTACTTTGGAAAATTATTTATAATAAATTTTCTGTGCCCTTGTACATATTTCATTAAAAGTAGGATCTTATGGTATACACAGCTTGCTTAATGTTTTCTTAAGTTAATTTAACATTTATTTAAAATTTGCTATGTCTCAAGCACTGTTTTTGGAATAGAGCTATAGTGGTGACTTAGATGGAGTTCACCTTCTATGTGGTACATAGAAAATATAAACAATGAAAGAAAACAAATTAGGATAAGAAGATGGAGAGTGATTTAGGTGTGGGGAAGGCCCTTTAGCTAGGGTTATGGGAGAAAAATATATGTGGAGTAAGTCCTAAAGGATAAGAAATAGGTAGCCATACAAATATTGATCAGAAAAGCATCCTAGGCAGAAGGAACAATTGCAAACTTCTTGAGATGGAAACAAGCAAGGTGCATCTGAGGGAAAGAAAAGGTAACCCAGCACACTGATAGGTTGCCTTTCTTTCATAATTTGTGATGAGAAAAATCAAGGGTATCCTTTTGATGCATTATATTTGAATTGCCTATTAGATATCCAAGCAGGAATATGCAGTTTTGTTTACTAGTGTATTATTTGAGCCTCTAACAGTATTTGGCACATTAATAGGCATTCAATCAATATTTGTTGAGTGAAGGAAGGAATTATTTTGGGAAGGAATAATTTTGAGATGGGTAATGTTTTACGAGTTTGAAACTCAGGTGAAAGGATTGTAGAATAAATTTGTGAGTCATTAGCACATAGATAATATTTACAGCTAAGAAACTGGTTAAGATTATCCAAGGGTATAGTGTGAATAGAGGAGTGCCAAAGAGTGATCTTAGAAGTCAAGAAGAGAAAGAGAAGCAAAGGTGATTGAAGATGTGCAGTAAGGTAGAAGAAAAACAAAAAGAGTCTAATTTCAGGAAGACTAGAGAAGAAAGTGTTTTGAGAAGGACATGGTCAATTGTGTCAAATCAAGCTATGAGAACTGCTTAATTTTGGTAAGCTTGAAGAACTAATCATTTTGATTTGACACGAAAGCATTGTTAGCGACCTCAATACTATTGTCTGCTTGGAATGTTGGGGACAAAAGCTAAGCTGGACTGTATTGAGGGAATGTGAGGTGAGAGAGAAGAGGTATCAAGTCTAACTAGTTATTTCAATGGGGTTTCAATTTAGGATACCATAGAAATGAACCTGAAGAGATACATAAAGTCACATAAATTTTTTTTAAACATTGAATTAAGGCATGTTTATATAGGTATAAATATTCCAGTAGAGAAGGAAAAAATAATGTTGCAGGAAAGAGTGAAGATACTTGCAAAGCTGAAATCTAAGGAAGGGACACTTAGAGGGAGTTAGTCTTAGATAGAAGCAGGGATTGTTTATTGCATTATAAAAAAAAAAAGAAGACAGAGTGTGGAAATTCAGATGCAGGTGGGTGGATGAATTTGGGCAGGACAGCAGAGTAGTTCTTGACTCATTTTCTCCATTTTATTAGTGAAAAATGAAGTGAGTATACCAGCAGAAATGGAATTGAATTGGAAGAGAAATTTAGAAGGTTTAAGAAGGGGCAATAGGAGCAAAATTATCTTTTTGGAAAGTGGGAAAGTGAATATTCTGGGGAAATATGGAACATTTTCTGGGTTTATGGCCCACTTGAGATTAGGGGCCATAAATGTTAAGTGATTTCAGTTAACTGCATCCTACTAAACCCAGAAGGACAGTTAAGTCAGCAAATAGTTAAATTTAATGAGTTTAATTTCTCTAAGAGACCATGATGGAGAATAAGACCTAAAAGAGTTGCCAGTATTTATAAACAAATAATTATAATACCAAATCATAGAAGTTAGAATGGAAGTAAGGGAATGTGTGAGGTGCTGGACAGTGAAAATGTGGATTGAAGTTCTCCAAGGGGGTGAAAATTAGGTGGAATAGGGTCATTTGAGTCACTGGGCTGGGAGGATAGGGGATTTGTTAAAATTAAAAGATGCATGCAAAAATTAAAAGATACAATTAAATTTTATTAAGCAATTCTAAATTGTCTTCTAAAATTGCTGAACTAATTTATACACTCTCCAATGTGTACCATACTATTATTCATTATGTTTTTAAATCAATAATAATTCTTAGAAAGTTATTTAGACTTATTTGTTTAACAATTTAAATAGAATTGAATCTCGCCATTATTTTGTGGGCTAGTCTTTTTTCAGAATATGTAGCCTCCTCCCTTCTCCCCACCCCCCGAAAAAAACCCATGTAACAGAAATAGTAATAGTAAAGGAGGTTCTTTCCATGAAACAAATGTGGAATTTTTAAATATGAGCCTCTAATATTTTATCAGACATAATTTCTTTACACTTCAAAGATATCAAGTGTTTTATTATAACTAAACAAGGAAACATTGAGTTCTATCATCTTCATTTTTAAACTATTAAGTTTCTCTCAACAGCCAAAATTGATAATAATTATAAATTGGCCTTTATTTTTTATATATAAAATGTATCTATATCCACATTTCTAACTTTCATATATATTTATATTATATATTTATATATTATATTACATATATTTATATTTATATATTATATTACATATATTTATATTTATATATTTATGAATGTTAAAATGTAATATAGATTTTTGTAGAATTTTATCTCCTTCTGAGAAACCATGTCATAAATTTTTAAGTTTAGATTACTTTTCTTTTAACTTGGTTTTTAATTTGGAAGCAGGAGCTTGGCATTAATGTGTATAACATAACCTGAACTATTTTTTCTTTTCTTGAGAAATGTAGCCTTGTCTTGCTTGCTTAGTAAAGTAATGCACCTTAATTCAGCTTTGTTATCCTTCTTCTTCTTCTTCTTTTTTTTAACTGTAGCCTATTTGGTAGTTCCTTTTTCCTGTGAAACATGTATAAAGTTCTACAAAAATACCAAAAGTTTACCATATTTATTGCTAAGATGCAGGTATACTACATTACTTATCCTCACATCATTAGACGAAATGCATATGAACTCTCCTTACAACTGGGTATTGAACTTCACTGGTCATTGGTTATTAGAACATTTTCTTTTAATGACTGTATCTTTTTGTAAGATACAAGTGTTACTTTGGAGAGAGGTAGGAATAGCTCTATGGAAAATGTACATGTACATGTGGTGGAATTTTTCCTGAAATTAAAGGAAACATGCAGTTTGGTCAAATGCATCAAATAAATTAAAATAGTGACGGTTACTGCAACCGAATCTGCTGTCTTAATATGCTATCAATGTAAAACAGCAATCATTTATAATTGTCATCAAATGACAAAGTTAAGTGTGATAAGAATATTTTGCACACCAATTAATTTTTCTATCAGTTTTGATACTTTAAAATGTTGAACATACAGTTCTTTAAACTGCATTGTTTCTTTTTTAGCTGTTTAAAATAAATTCTTTAAGAAGTGCAACAATAAAAAAACAAATCAGCAATGTTAAAAAATATGTAAGGAGACATGCAGATTTTAATCTTCTTGTTGCTACTGTATTAAATATTTTGTCCTTATCAAAATGTATGCACAAAAACTGGACAGAATATGCTTCTGTGATCTTTAGCAGCTCTGTATTGCCCCATAAATGACTCAGCTACAAATCAGTGAATGTGCTTCAGGCTTTGATTTTTGTTATTAGTTCAAAGATGAACATCATGAGGACATCACTCAGAGACAGATTTATCATGTTTTGTTTCAGATCTCATAGTGAAAGCTGAATTTTCTTGTCTTTGTTCTACCAAATACATTGCTATATACATGATAGTTTAAAAAAATTAAACCTTTTTGAATATGCTAGAGAATATTAACCAATGCATAATAAAATTAAATCAAGTAGGTGCCATCACAGTCTAAAAATATAACACCCGATATATGTCTGTTGACATATTTGTTATTCAAATTCAAATTTTCTTTCTCATATTGTTGTATATTTACAAATGTGTATCTATACTATGCAAACATTGATGGCTTTTTAAAATTTATTTTATATTATGAGTATATAATAGGTGTATATATCATCAAATATTGTATCTGTTTTTCTCCTTCATGAAACAAATGACAAGATGAGATTAGATGCACAACAGATTTATTGGCAGATATGCCTGTGAAAGATAAACAGGCAGGAGGTTAGAATAGACAGTTTTCAGACCGTGCTATAGGTCTGAAACCTGTAAAAGGAGAGAGGGAAGACAGGATTGGATAGAAAAAGTCTCAGACAACTATGCCAAAATTCTTAGCCAGGCCAATGGGGATTCCTAGAGCCACAGCTTTTCATTAGAGGAATTTTGTACAGGAATGGTCTTGTTCTAGCAAGGCTGCCAAGCTCAATCACTGGCTGGAAGCAGCCTATCTGAAGAGCAGCCTGCTGAACACAGTGGTGTATGCAAAGGTGCAGATGCTAGAGGCTGTCCTTCAGTTATGTTCCTAGTAGCAGTTTCAGCAGAGCTTCTTCATAGTCATCAAATATATGTATTTTGGGCCTTTCAGTGAAGTTGTTGCTAAGAAGATATGGATTTTCTTTCTTAATTTTCTTAGTTAATATGTTCACCCTAATAGGCCATGTCCTATAAGTGTATAAGTGTTATTAGGTAAGAGAATGAAGATGGATTCTGTGGCTGCATCATAGGCTCTGAATTTAAAAAGCAACAACAAAAACCTTACTAAATCAAATCTCAAAACATATATCCTGATTGTGGGGCAGTGTGGGCTTATAGATGTTTGCAAATGAATAAGCACATATTCTAATTTGACTCATAATGCTGTTAAGAAACAAATTCATAAATGTAAGATAGTTATTGCATTTCAATGAGGCATGCCAGCAATGTTCAACAAAATAGGGGAAGAAACTTATAAGCAAGTATGGAAAATAATACAGTCAGTCAGCAAGGTACATAGGTTTAATAACTGAGTTAAGAATATCCATATGACTTATGTGTGCAGTATACATATATAAATATATTCTTTTATATACATTATCACAATTCTTTTATATATATTATATATAATATATAAATATATATATAAATTCTTTTATATATGTAATAGAATTGTGAAAATATATATGTGTGTATATATGTATATATGTGTATATATATGTATATATGTGTATGTGTGTGTGTGTGTGTGTATATATGTGTGTATATATATATATATATATATGAATTGTGATAATAGTCCCCCAGAAAGTAAAATTCTGCAAGCGGGAAAAGAGTGACAAGGCACTCATACTCAGTGAGCTCTGGAAAGGTGCTCAACTTACTTTACCTGAATTAATAGATCATAATTTAGCATTTGATGTATAGTCTTTGATTCTCACCAAAAAAATCAGAAAGATTGCAAGATCTCTCAGTAGTTCTAGATGAGAATTCATTGTTATTTTTCGTTATCATTGATCAGTAATATAGATGAAAGCTCAATAACGGGTTACAGTGAATGTTCATTGAATGCCAAGCACTGTGTTTGGTACTGCTGATACAAAGGCAAGTAAATCAAGTGTTACCTCTTCCCTTGTTAATTAGTTAAAATTGCATTCATTCACTCCTTAAGCAAAAATAATATATGGTTCCCAATTGCTTTTCTGGGCATTGGGGATACAACAGTAAATAAATGTTACAGACAAAATAAATGAATGAAAAAATAAACAAGTCCCAAAATACAACTGGATAGCAGCTGTGGAATTTTTCTTAGTAGATGGAATCTTTTATTCCGTATTTAACACTATTAAATTCCTTAATAGACTACACCATAAACTCTACAATATAGAGCTCAACTTGAGATACAGAATGTTTAAAAGAGAATAAAAACTTCTCTGAAGAATTCCATTGTTTAAAGAAATGGAAATCAGCATTATTCAACATTTCTTACTTTATATATTTAAAATTATCTTAGTTGCTTTTTGTGATACTACATTATTATTTTAATAAAATATATAAAGTTGGATGATGATAATATAACTCTTCAAAGATACTTCTGTTAGTGGTTTGATATATATTTTTTCATAATTTTTAGTGAGTAAATCCATCTACACATACATTTTTACATAAATTTAATTTCATGCCCATTGTCACTCTTTAAAATTTACCTTCTTTTAAAATTACTACAATATATGGGCATATGCTAATTTACTGATAAATATGTTGATTGTCTTCCGTTACTTAATAAACAATTTTAAGAAGAATCTGTTTTTATATATATGAATCTCCATAAGAGTATTTATATTTTCTTAGGATAGATTCTTAGCAAGGGTACACTTGATCAAAATTTCTACATATTTTAATTTTTGACATATATTTTCAAATGGCTATTCAAACCTTGTCTAACAGTTTTCCAGTTTTTCCTCTGCTATAGGTTGAATTATGTCACCAACAAAGATATGTTGAAATCCTTACCCCCAGGTACCTATGAATGTGATTTCAATTGGAAATAGGGTCTTTGAAGATGTAATCATGTCAAGATCAGCTCATTAGGGTCGGCCCTAATCCAATATAATTGATTTCCTTGTATATATTATTACATTACTTTGTACCCCATAAATATATTGACCACCATAGTTAGTCAATTTAAAATTTAAAAATAAATATTAACGATAATTTAAAAATAATTTTTAAAACAGAAGAGGGAAATTGGAACACAGGCACACACACAAGGAGAGCACCCTGTGAAGAACAGACAAACAGGGAGAACACAAGGTAAAATGGAGGCAGAGATTCCATTTTCACTGCAAGCCAATGAGTAGTAGCTGGCAAAACACCAGAAACTATGAGAAAGATATAAAACAGATAGACCGTGGCCCTGCAGGAACCTTAGTTTGGACTTCTTGCCTCCAGACCTGAGAAAATAAATGTCTGTGTTTTAAGCCATCCTAGTTTGTAGTAATTTGTTAAGGCAGTCCAGGAAAACTAAAACCCACCTCTAACATTTTAGAGTGCTTCTTTACCCTCATAGTCACCAAATTGAGCATTCTCACTACTTTATTACTCTGTCTATTAGAAAAGTAAAATTACAAAGATACCTAATACATTTAAAACTAAATGAATCTCATTAGATAAAAGGCAGAGAAGTTTCACATTTGTCATATATATGCATGTTTGTCTATTTACCAACATACTTACCTGTTATCCTTTACTTTGTTTTATAAAAGGATTTAAGCAGCTATTCTCTAGTTAATATAGAAAAAAAATGCTTTAAAATGGAAGGAAAAGAATCTTCCATTAAAGAAATAGATAGGTGTCATCCTCCCAGCCAAATAACTGGGCTTTGCGCGGGGTAGGTATTTAAGTTTATGGCTATAGCAGTATCTGGATTGCAGGGTTCAAATCATATGTTTCTATTTTCTGGCTAACCTCTTATCTCTCAGCTTCAGGGTTTGGCATAGACCTAGGATGGCACAGAATCATCTACCATTTCTATGAGATAGAAGCCTGAGAATTCTTGCCATTAACGTTCAGCCTTTCTCTCATAGGGGTTTGCCGTGCTGCTGAAATACGCAGTTGGTCTAGATGGAAAATAGCTTTCTGACAGTGTCAATTCAAGGATGTTCTGAGTTTATTATTAACTCTGGGAATTATATCATAAGAGGCAAATACTCCTACAAAACATTGATCAATGCCACTGTTAGAGATACTTGGTCTTAGGTTGATTTGATCAGAATTACATTTACTATGTTTTAAGTACAAGAAGAGCCCTCTGATGTTCCTCATTGTGGAGTTCTTTTCAAATAGAATGCATTGTAAATGTCATCTCCTGTGATGACAAGGCAGTTGTAGAGTGTAAGGCAGTAAAGGTGAGATGGAAGAACAGGGGATTGGCAGTCAGAAGCCTGCATTCTAGTTGTGGCTTTGCTGCTTACTGGCTGTGGGCCTTTGGAATGGTGAGTTGAACTTCTGTGTTCTCATCAGTCAAATGGGCTTTGAAGTATACCTCAAAAGGTGATTGTGAAGATCAAATGTGACCATGTTTATGCAAGTATTTTGGAAACATCTAGCGTTAAATATATGTAAAATGTTTTCAGTTGCAGAAATTTTAGTTTGAATCAAGAGTGGTGGGACTTTGAAACCTCTATTCTCTCTTTTGTAAATATTTTTGTCATATTTAATCTAAAGATAAAAACAAAACACTTTATAATAACTAAAGGTTTGTTTATTTGGGGCTGGCTGTAAGCAAGAGAGTATTATCACTGAGGGTTGTTCATAGCCACTCCTGTAGCTCATCCACTGTTTCAATCCTACAGTTTCCTTCCTTTCCGCGTAGGCTGTCTTCACCTGGGGTCACAAGACGTCCTCATGCTCAGCACCATGCTTTGTTGAAGCACCAGGGTGGAAATATTATTATATTTTCTGTGGAAAAAGTGAGGGAAATTGAGATAAAAAGGGGAAAAGTTATTTAAATAAGTATGTTCATATCTGGTTTATAAGCCTTAAGATAATTTTTATGAAGAGCTATCTTGTTTTACTCAGATTATTTTTATTTTGGTTGACTTTGGCACCTATCTGCAGTATTAGTAGCATTGAAGTTGTTATTCAGTGGATGAAACCTTGCTGAAGTGGCTGTGTGGATACCCTAAAATAGCCACTTCTCCCTTGATGAGTGTCGCATTAAGATTCCATGGAAGTTCACAAGGGAAAAACACCTTTTCTGTGTTGGCTTTTGTTATTGCACCCCTCTATCCCAATTAACATTTACTGTTTTTTACATTGGTAACTTAATTGGCTGCTAAATTTTAGAAGATAAACTCTGAATGTTTATGACTAAAATTAGAAATACTTAAAAACATTATTTAAAACAAATGCAATGTAATGATGAAATTCACTGACTGTATAGTAAATATGTTGCCAAATATATAGAAATGCCCACAAAATAATATTTTAAAAATATTCTAAGTTTACTCTTCATCTGTATTCTAAATTTGATTCCATAATTTGAGATACAAAAATTCATGATTTTAATATAAAATCTGAAGAGTAATATTCATGACCATATACTTACATATGATCTCTCTAAATATATAGTAGTAATATTAACTATTAATAAACTCTATAATGCAATACTTCGTATTAAAGAGGATGATTGAGTTTAAATAGCTTTGTTCTTACTTATACTTTACTTCCTTGGGAAACAAGTGACCTTATATCCAAACCCTCTGAAGCAAAGCATTGAAATAAAATGTTTTTAATGCTGTGATGAGAATTTAAATGTCACAGAGTGCTATTGACATACATGTAAGATCAAAAGAGGAAGTGTGTTATGACAGATAAATCAAGATAGTAGAAAATTCTGTTAAGGTCTAAACTGAAAGTATCATAACTAAAAACATGTAGTGGCATTTTCATGTATTCTGGGCACACAAATCAGCTACAATTGGCCAAAATGTTACATAATGAAAGCCAGTAAATAACATTTTTTTCCTCAAAAATAGTAGACTGTGGCATTATACGTGACATTTAGAAAAGGTTCTTATTGTAGCTGTTTCTATCAATATTCCTATAACAATTGATTTAAAGATTGTATTTATTTTGTACTTCAAACTTCCTTCAACTGGTAAAATAGAAACTATAAAAGATCCCCTACCTATGGGTCAAATTACTTACCCCAAATGATTGAGTAAATTTGCAACCAAGCTGAAATTAGAACTTTTAATTATAATTTAAAAGATATTTGAAATTGAATGGAACCAATCATAGAAAATTTTATATTTAGCTCCTCAACACACTAAAGTTCCCTTTTTGGGCCATAGGATCATAGCTGACTGCTATCTTTTAGAACCTTGCTACCCTGTGTGTGGTCCACTGAGCAGCAGCATCAACATCCATGCAGAAATACAGAATCTCAGGCTCTAGCCCATACTTACTGAATCAGTTTGCCTTCTAACAAGATCCTCAGTGATTTATATGCCCATTGGAATTGGAGAAGCACGATTTCAAACATCATTATATATTTCCTCAGTTTTTTTTCTTACAGGCAATAGGTGTGAACTACTTACTAAGGTGGACTGCAATAAAAAATATTAACTTTGTCATAAAATGTCGAATATTCATTAGTGTATTTATACATGTATGAGTCTGAGAAAGCCAGACTCCAAAGAGTGAACTATGCAATACGTATTTTATTTTTTTCTAATAAGGTATTGATTTTTGTTACAGATAAAGATTTAAAACTATCCAAATACTGCATTAAAGTGGCAAAGTGCTTATGAGAAAGAAGATATCAGAGCTGAATTTCTACTTTTATCACCATTGAGGGATACAGCATTCTCAAATGCATCCAGTATCATTATCTGACTAGAAAATTCTTGCTCAAATCATTGTTCAACAGAATACTGTTTAGATCTTATTTACAGTTTCCAATTGGACTTTAGGCAAGAAGCTCTTGTAGGCTTTAAATTCCACACAAAGGCACAATCACATAATCATGACTCTTCTTCCTCAAATATTTTACATGCTTCCTCATAAAAAGTAGAGCTCTTCAAAAGGTTAGGCCTATCTCCCTACCAGTATTGGATTGAGTGTACAGACAAAAACATACCTCAAATATGTTTGGTAAAGATCAGAAAAAAACTCTAATTTTTCATTTTACAATGTAGACTTGTCACAAAGAATAAAGAATAAGAGAATAGCTGGAAGCAGTACCTCTTTCAAAGCGTAGGAGGGCAGGCTGTCAGCAAACCAATGGGACTATGACGAAAGGCCAGCATCCACTGTCTTTTAGTTTGTGGAAACCATTTATTATTTTAAAAAATTATACCATTAATAAACTTAGAGGCATGGTATCTGTCATCATTACTGATTTGTATGCATGAAAAAACCTCCTGACCTTTTCTTTTTTAAATTTTATAACTCATGTGAATTCGGTTTCCTTAAGGACTTGTTAAACAGTACTATGGCTTTCTTGGTCATCCTGAATGCTAATTTTCTTCAGGTAATTCGGTTCGTGAAGACTGAAAGTCATTATTTGTTTATGACCTAATGTCATTCATTAGTTCTGTTTCATTAAAAAAATGGATATTACTGAAGAAATATGTTTATCAAAGAAAAGATTCAAGGTGGGCTTTATTATCTTCAAGCATGTGGTCTATTAAGCAAAATAAGATATTCAGCAAAAGACTATGATAAATCAGTTTCTCTTTATTGAAGAAGCTACTTTGACATTTCCATTCCAGCTCAGTCTAAGTCTGCATGACAAACAACTGTTTCTTGCTAGCTTCTGTATTAATGTTTAAACTCTCTTTGGTAATCAGGACTTTTAAACATTTTTTATAATGATTTGGATAGAAATAGTCAAATTTATAATTACATTTGTGACAGAAAGGTGAACCTTCTAACAGTAGTATTTTTAAACATATCTCTATACTGAAGCAAAAAGAACAACCTAGCATCCTTTGCCTTATCATCTTCTATTCTATAAAATATGAAAATGGGATAAAAGTGAAGTATACACTGTGTTTTCACCCTACGCTTGAATTAAGAATTGCTTTCTTTCCTTCATATTAGAGTAAGTTAAAATTAGAACACTTTTTATTTAAATTGTCAGGTAAAATGTGTTGCTTTCAAAATATGCTTTCTTTTTAGTAAAATAAAGATCCACCTTTCTTTCTTATATTAAAATGCAAAGAAATGTATATTTTAGAGTAACATATGCATTTATTATTTGCAGGGGTCATACAGAATAGAGGTAGGCTACCAGAGTGCTTCTCCAGAGCTGATCAAGCACGTTAGCATTTGTAAAGTTCTTTTTTTTGTCAGGAGAACCAAAAAGACATACTTCCAAAATTAAAATGTAAATCATATGTTCAAAACTAAAATGAATTAATGAGTTAAGTCTTACAATACCTGTTGGAAACACTTTCCACAAGACTTTTGTGATCTTTTATTTGATGGGCCATGAGCAACCAGAAATGAGTATGTTTTTAGATTCCTGGACTGCCATGCTTCAAATATATTGATGTATCTTACTTTACATCTCTTTCTCTAAGAGGATTATTCAGTTACCACTTTTGAGCTTAAAAAAAATAGACTTTAATGTTGTATTCCAGATAAATTCTTTTAAAATTCTGGTATCAACTTTTAAAATATTATCTTCTGAATTATCCACTGGATTTTTCTCCCTGGAGGCTCACTTTAGAGATGTTCACACACAACTGCTGGTTTGCTTTAGATAAAGCACTTGTTCTCACGTTCTCATGTAAGTTTTATCACAAACAATGTCTAACTTCACTTTTATCATTTCGCTTCTTAATTCCTTTCTCTTTGTCACAAGTCCTGTGCTTTGTAGCTGTTTTCCTTATTTTTGTTTTTAATGTGGCTTACCTTTGCAGTTAAAATTCTTAGAAATTATTGTTACTTTGAATTTCAAATCAGAGGAATTAATTTTTTTAAAGTCTATAATGCAAACAAATTATTATGATATTGAATACACTAAAAATCTGAAGCATTTTTCCAGTTTAAATGATAATTATAATATAAACAAATACACTCTTATAAAATGTGAGTAAAATTAATATTAAGAGAGAATTTGAATAGCTTCAATATTAACTCTAATATTATTTCATATACAAACGTTTTACAATTTATTTCCAGGATCAGAAAAGGAACCATATAAAATACCACAAAAAAAAATATAGGCTTTGCCTGAAGTGTTATAAGTAAAATTTAGAAATGTTCATAAAGATTATAAAGTTTCTTCTCAATTTGTTTAAGTTCAGAAACGTCATTAAAATGTTTATATTTGCTCACCTTTTTGGTAGGCACAGGCTAATTCAAGATAAAATAATGTAATGTTTTTCTGGGTGCTATGACCCCACATAAACAGTCCTGAAGACAAATAATGTCATTCAGGATGCTAAGTGCTTACCTAGATACAGGACATGATAGGGACAGATCCCCCACCTGAACTGAAGCAAGTCAAAGAGGACTTGAGGCTAACCTGAGACTTGGAAGATGAAGAGTTCCCTGGCAGACAGGAGGAAAGAAAGACAAGACTAATGGGGAGTGTTGTAGGGAAAGAAACTGGCTTATCCAAAGTCATGGGGACACATAACAGCACAGACACATAAACTGTCAGTATTTTAGTTTGGTCTACGTCTAGGGACTTAAAGATCAAACCAACATCTTTAACTATACCAAGAATATAATATAGTCCAAACAACGGCCCATAAATGTTCTAGGTATGTGGGAGTTTTTATGGCAGTCTTCATTAATCCCATGTTATGAAAAAGAATTATTTCTGATGTTCCTGACAAATCAGCAGAGTTGCAAGTGAAGGAAGGAAAGTGGAAGAAGTTTGGAAATAAATGACCGTGATTTAATATGGAAGAATCACAGCAAGAGAACCCTGATATTTTGGTTCTAACTCCAGTTTAGTTTATAAACCTGCTTCGTATTCTAAACAAGTCATCACTGACCCTATATTTTCTAAATACAGGATAATGTTTGGCCTAAATATGTTGTTTGTGTTTTAACAAAACTCTGTTAGTCAAGAGACAAAAACACAGTGTCATTGTTGGAAATGCTGAAAGAAATCTTGAAATTCAACCTCCTTCATCCTATAGCTTCCTCCACTTCCACCTTCTACCTGCTTCCCCTTCTATCTTCCTTTTCCTGTTTCTACATTTTCTACCTTCCTATGTTAGCTCCTGAGCGTCTATGAATAAACCTAAAGCTTCATAAAATACTGTGGAAATTAGTGTCCAGATAACTTCTTATGTTCTTTCAGACCATATTTCTCCATCTCTGAATGGTGTTTAATTAATAATCAATTAATAGTCAAAGGGAAAAGGGGAAATCTGAGGGCCTGTGATAATAAATAATAAATATAGTTAGGTTAATTGGTGGAATCTAATGAAGAGGAAAGGTATACTATAATGAAAGAAGGCAATAAATAAAATCTGGAACTAAAATAGTAATTGTAAATACTATCTATGAATTCCTTAGTGTCAGATATTTTAAATATTTAGTCTTGTTTAAATTTCCAACCATCCTGGAGTAGCTATACTGTTTCCTGTTTATACAGAAAAGTACATGAGTTAAACAGGTTAAAAGAATAGTTTCTTATGGACTCCACTGACAACCTATGGAGAGACAATGCTTTTGTACTGGGCCCTTATAGGTGTTGAGCTTAATCTTCAGAGCCTCCTGTCCTGGGGTGGGGGGAGGGGGGAGGGATAGCATTAGGTGAAATACCTAATGTAAATGACCAGTTAATGGGTGCAGCACACCAACATGGCACATGTATACATATGTAACAAACCTGCATGTTGTGCACACGTACCCAAGAACTTAAAGAATAATAATAAAACAAAGCAAAACAAAACAAATAACAACCACAACCACAACAAAAGGTTTAAAGTAAGCATATTCCCATTTTATAGCTAAAAACCTGAGATTCCAAAAGGTTAAATTAATTGCTCAACCTGAGGCCATCTGGCTCCTCTTCCAGTGCCCATTCCTCTACATACTTTATTGCTTCCTTAATCTCCACAGGAATCATTTCCCCTTTTCTATCAGCCTTCAAAAGCTTGTTGATTGCTCTCTAATTACAAATACTTGGAGAAAAGTGTGTAAATTGATATGCAAATGATCTTTTCCCCTTAGCAAATTAGCACTTTACTTCCATCTAATTAAGTAGCTTTGTGAAGGAAATGGATTTCTGAAAGAAGAATGGAAAGTGTTTGGATTTGTTCTGGGGGTGTTTCTGGTTTAGCAAGCCTTGTAAATGAGGTATATAAAAAGGAGTCAAGAGTAGGAGCAAACAATGAAAGCAGAGAAAAAACGAAGGGGGTTGGATGAAAAAATTTAAGTATAATGACTGACAAACCTTCAGGAGAAAGTAAACTGCCTTTCATCTTTCATTCTTTCTCCAATAATAACACTTTTTTTTAAAGTAAAATAAAACTTTAAGAAAGTTCTGATTTCTCTCAGACATCGGTGTTAACGCTGACAATATATTTATCAAAAATGGATATATTCAAGCCTAAACTACTAATTTTTGTTGTATCTAGAATTTACAGGACATTCTCTTAATTGGGAAGAAATTAATTCCTTGAGTATGTTACAAGAATTTTCCTTAGGAAAGAGTCACTTGTTGCAATAGGAATTAAGATATGGCTTTGCCATTATATATATTTAGTGGAATTAGGGGCAAGACATGTATGTACTAGCTTCTTCCATAATAGGACTGAAGCAGTTGCCTGAATGTTATCTTTAATTATTGCCAGTGAATAGTAATTCGGTACTGAATATGTACTGAATTGAACATGTAACTACCTGAAGTAAAAGGTGTCAATTTAAATTTTTCATTGAAAATATGGCAACTGAGATTCACAATAATATATTAAATCTTTATCCTCTAGCAATCTGTTTTTATGAATTTAACAAAATGTCTGTATGTAAGCAGTTTAGTTGTATGTGCTTGGGGAAAGCCTTTAGTCTTTATTAAATTATACTACCCAGGTCCATAAATAGCTAGTTCCTATAAGTTACACAATGCCATATTAAGTTATATTAGCCATTCTTCTTAATAATGAAAACATATTTAATAATAAAATATTATTTACCCTTCTACCTATGTTTCTTTGCCAGGTATTATACTCTTGTCTATACCACCAAATTATTTTTTGGATTTACAATGTTTATTTTTATATTTTATTCATTAAAATGTAATAAAAAATAATTGAAAACTGATGCTAATTGAATACCTTAGGAAGGATCAACTCTGCTGTTGGCAATTTCACTTATCTTATTCTAGTTGCCCTTTAAGAAAAATAAAGAGAAATCATATTGGCTGTTTTCCAGGAGATTATAACACATTGGAGAAGGGAGAATCTTTGTAGCAAAAAATAACTAGAAAACCATTGGGTGCCAGATACAAATTATGATGTAAATTATAAGAACCATTTTATTATAAACACTTCTATGGAAAAAGTGACAAATATCACATATCAGAGAAAAGGTCAGACATTCAGATCTTAATTTGTATACAAAAAATCTTTTTACTGTTACTGAATACTGATATCCCAAGAGTAATTGAAGAAGTATGCAAGTACTATAAATTGCCTCCAAGCTACAATATTCTTTTGAAGGAGAAAAGATTAAAAGATTATAAATTCCATATTCCCAACCACCATCATCCCTCCATTATCTAGACTGTGTCCCTTCCAGTGTATTGTGAAAAATCTTCGAGAGATCATGCTGCCAATATGTCAAGGATTCTACTTTTTTGTAACAGGTGAGGGCCTTTGATATCAAACAGTTCACCACCTTTATTCTTACAGGAAGACACTGAGGCCCAGAGAGGTCACTTGGGTTTGTCCTGTTGTGTTCTTAGAGGTGAAGATTTGATACCAAATCTGACATGTGATCCTCAACCAAGCAAGGGTTTCAACCTTGACTTGGTATCTTCATGCTCTGAATAGTCATCACTTTATTGTGCAATTTATCTAATAACACAATTGTGTCTGTAAAGAAAATACAAATGGAGAAAAGTTTCTGCAATTATTAAGCAGAATATAAACCTAAGGATATATAAAGCATATATTTATCTCAATATTTCCATCTTCTCTTTCTCAAATCCAAGGTTTTCTTACTCTACTTTCAAAGAACAATATATATGATGTTTTAAATTTGAATATAAAGAAGCCATTTAAATGTATTTTCTGAAATGTGCAACAGGCTGCAAGGGTTTTTTTTTTTTTTTTTTTTTTTTTTTTTTTTTTTTTTGATGAATACATAATTGTCCTAGGCATTTTTAATTTGTTGCATGGCAGATTTCCTGAATCAAATAGCAGCTGTTTGGGGAAAGTAGCAAGCACATTTTCTGCAGGCCCATTGGTTGCTGTTTTGCTTTCATATTCTCTCACCATTAACTATACAGCAGCTAGAGCAGAGGAGTTGTTAACAAAATATACTTTCACTGCTAGCCAAACTATATACATGACTTAGTGGTAATATTTGATTTTATGTCATTTACTTATGTCTCTGTATGTCTTACACCAAGGGACTAACACCCAATGGGAGAAAGAAAAAAAGGGAAAATTAACTAAGTATCTGTGAACCATCAAATAGGCTCAGATAAAATAATGAGCCTTCAACAAGCTGGAATATAATAACATTAGGACTTTGGAGTTCAGTGGGCAGTTAGATGCACTAATGGCACTGCTGTGCTGGGAAAACATATATTTTATTTGGAATTTTTGTGTGGAGGTGATTGCACATTATATGAATAGCTGTGCTAAATGCATGAAGGTTTTCTGCCAGCATAGGAGGCGATTAAGGCCCCCTCTGCCAGATAACAGCTCACTGGAGGGAAGTAATGGTGGCAAAGTAAAATCTGAAAACAGATGATTTCCCATTTAATAGTCCATTGACTCTCCTCCTACAGCCACTGTGGTGATGGTGCTGCTCTTTATTTTCATTTCACAAAGAAGCACAAGGTATTCTGAGATTTTTTAGGTCATACATTTTCTTTCAAAAAGAAAGAGAGAGAAAAAAGATGAGAGAGAAAGAGAAAAGGAGAGAAAAAACACCAAGTATTGCATTAAAGAAAAATGCAATTGATTCACTCATTCATTTTAAGAAAAAAAGATACTTATTTTTGTGTTTATTGAATGTTCATTGTAGTTCAGGATGATTTCGTTTTTTTTTCTTTCTCCCCTGCACCCCCTCGTTTGTGTCACTCATCCTCTAGGGAGCTGTATCAAACTTACAAAAAAGGGTACTGCATTTTGAATGTATATCCAACATGATTATGAGACAGACCCAGCCCACACTGTCAGAAAAAAATAAAAAATGTGTTTGTCCGTTCAAACTGTGATTTGGATATAAAATAGCCAATATACTTTTACCATTTAAAACATTTTCCCATTAATTATTTTTTCTCTTCTTTATCTTTTATGTGTTCTATATTCTCATACCATATATGTTGAATATGCTTATCTCATTTCACCATTTGTTTAAGCATAGCAGTTAATTTGTTTCTTCTTAAATATTCATCAAACAGAATTTTGATTAATTTAGATTTAAATTAAAATGTGTAAGTGTAGTATTGTCTATTAATAATTCCTGGTATTTCTGCCATAGGTCTTGAAAGTACCTTGGTCCATTCTGGACTATTTGTCTTTATTTACTAACATCATTTTCTGTCATACCACATCTATTTTTATGTACTTTTGAAAATAAGACAAATAATGATTCAGTCATCCAAGATTTGCTTAGGTATGGAAATATCAATTTTCAAATAGTCTTACAGTAAAACAAATTTAAAAGGTCCTAGAAGGAAAAAAAAAGTTTTAGTTAAACTCACTTATTTGCAAACTACTAAAAAAATAAAATAAAATGCAAAACTGTACTTCACCTTTATTTTATTGCTGGATGAAATTTTTTGTTTTCAGAATTATTTTCAGACAATACTGTAAATTTTTATGGCCAGAATCTTAGCATTTGCATTTTTTATGCCAGATATGCATTATTTTGATGTCTAGGTTCCTTCATCTTAAAAATACAGTTCATGCCAAGTTTTGGGAGATTGATCATTAAGCAAGCTGGCGATTAAGCATAGCAACACTGAATGTATGGATGTAACCATTCAGATAGGTGGTTCTATCTAATATGTCCATTTGTTTTTTAGAATGATAAATTTTTAATAATTTTTACAATTCCTTTAATCAGGCAGCTTCTTCTATAGGTACTCAGGACAGTTTAGTTTATTGATTGTTGCTTCACTTTTTGCTGTCAGAACTTGTGGATGTCTCTTTTCTATTCTAAAAGGCAGTTTTTACAGCAACAAATAGCATGCAAGTAAACTATAAAAATGTATTCAGCAAGGTAGGGTGACTCAGCCTGCAATCCCAACATTTTGGGAGGCCGAGATGGGCAGATCACTTGAACCCAGGAGTTCGAAACCAGACTGGGCAACATAGAGAGACTCTGTTCTCTACAAAAATAAAAATAAAAATTAGCTGGGAGTGGTGGTGTGTTCCTGTAGTCCCAGCTACTTGGGAGGCTGAGATGGGAGGATCACCTGAGCCCAGGGAGGTAGAGGCTACAATGAGCCATGATTGTACCCCTGCACTCCAGGGATACATAATACCCTGCAGTGCACTCCAAGTGCACCCTGCAGCCTGGGCAACAGAGTAAGATCTTGTCTGAAAAATACATAAATAAATAATAAATATGTTTTTATTTTTACTGCATATTCTCTTCTTTAATAAGTTGTTCTACATTTCATTTTTCTTTATTACCTCTTTTAAAACTATACCACTTTCTCTGGTCTTTCTGTTGTTTGCATTTCATGCCTTTGACTTTTCTTAACCCTATGGAATTCTGACATACTTACATGGAACACATATATTATTTAATTCACTACATGTATATATCATTTATTTTACTTGCCTTTAAGAAATTACTTCTCACAAAAAAAAGAAATTACTTCTTAATTTCAATATGTTTCATGCTTTTCAAGGAACTCAATATTTTCACTTAGGCCTTTTTTTCCGATTTATTTTTGTAAGAAAGTTAAATCTATGTCAACTCTAAAAATACTTTAATCCATTTGTGCTTTAATAACCTCATTAAAGGGGGAAGGAGTAATGAAGTGATGTTTCTACTTCATTAAATATACTAGTAGTGAGAACTACATATGGTGGTTTTATAATTGTTATTATTCACAACTACATCCTGAACATTTCTGAAAGATTTATAGTGATTAGCAATATTCTTCTTTTCAAGAGAGAAAAATTATGGTATGAAGAGATTAGTAATTACCTAAAGATTTTATTGGTTACTTATACCAGGAGTAGGCTAGAACTGATATCTACTAAATCTTTCTATTAGGTAGTCCATTAAAAACAAACAAACAACAACAAAAAAATTTCTGTAATTTGACCTTATAGTGCTATATTGAATTGTACTAATTATGATGGCTTTATCTTCCTTTGACTTTCAGATCCAAGTAATACCTGTGCATTTGAATCTACATGATCTAATTGTGTTTATACTTACGTCTTTCACAATTTTTACTACTATTGAGGTTGTTTGTATAAATACGGTAAATAGATCTGATAACAACTCATAGCTCAGGAATTTATATATGGTGTTAATGAGCACAAGATTAGTGATTCAAACTACATTTTAGTTCCATTTTATAAGGCTTCACCTTCTTCTCAACCAGACAGTGTATCTGGACTGTATACAAAGAGGGATGGATGCCAACTGTGAAACCCAGTTTTGAAATGTGTTTTTGTTAGGCAAGATGAGGACCAAAGGAATAAAATATTATGAGATGGTGGGGAGGAGATAAATGTCTAATTCCTAGTCTAAGGAAATATGTAAGATGGTGGAACCAGAGTCAGAATCCAAGGAAGTCTGGGGCCAAAGCTGACAGAAGAAACAAATAAGATGCAAAAGCAAAGGATTTAAGATGTGATCAGCATGGAATAATCTGGGAGAGGATGCTGTCATTTTTACTGCCAGTCCTTTTAAGGGTCCAATCCTTCTTATCAGGGATACATCTGCCCATTTTAAAAACATCATATTTAGAAATTGCATTCTGATACCAGACATCTTATAGAAAGTTGTGCTTAGTCATGCCTGGAGTAGGTGAGACAGAAAGAATGAGTAGTTAGAGTCCATGCTCACTTTTAGAAAAAAGAATTCAAAGCATATGCACTACTTTGAGTGAGTCAGTATTGTCGTCTTCAAATGCAAAGGATAACAAGTAATTTCTCCATGGCCAGGGTTGATAAAAAGTGACTCATGTCAAAGATTTATCTTTTTTTTCTCCAGGCATAGTGTTTCACAAAAAATAAATCTATATAAACTGCAAAAGTAAAATGTTCATATATGGACAACTAAAAGACAGTGTTTATCCATTCCATTATAGACATTGTACAACTATGAGTCATAGTGGCAAAATGACAAGTTTTCCACTGTAGCATCTAAGATTTAAAAATAAAAGAAAATTAGAAATCTCAAAAATAATAGTAGATTGCAAAATACCTTGCAACATTTTTTGAGTCAGCCAATTACTAGAAACTGGAACATATGTTTATCTGAGAAATACCTTTCAGCTGCCTTCCTCCATGGCTGTAAGATACATTTTGCACTACACTGCAATACCTATAATTATAGGACTATAATTTTAGGATTGGAAGGAACCTTATTGATCAGTTAGTTAATCCCTTCTTTTCACAGCTGAAGAATCTAACAACTAAACTGGTTAATGAATAAATAGTAAGTGAAGTCTAATAAAACATGTTTGAAGGCTAATAGCATCTATATAATAAAGACTAAATAGATACACATTCAAAATATGACTTCACTGTTGGGCAACATAAGACAGCTAGTGGAGAATTTAGATTTCTCTCTTTCTAACTGATTGTCATGTCTTATGGAGGAAATTCTCAAAGATAATGTTAACATATGTTGGGATAAACCCTTTCTGCTTTACCTCTTCTTGTTATCTTTTTCTTATTTTAGATTGTGTAGTGTTACAGATATATTTGTATAACCAGTGGTATATTTTATGTACTCTATGAAATTTCTCTTCTCTCAAGAAAGTTGTAGACTAGCCATATTTATCTTAGGTTGAAGATCATATGTTCTGTTTTGCCCTGGACATTTCTGGTTGTCATAGGGTAGTAGTTAATAATACCCTCTTTCACTTTTCAAAATACCTCAGTTTGAATGATAAGTTATATGTCCACCCTTGCCTTAGGTATAGTCTTTATAAAAAAAAAAATTTAACTTTTATTTTAGATTCAGGGGGTACATGGACAGGTTTGTTATATGGGAATATTGTGTGATGCTAAGGTGTGGAGTTTACGTTATCCCATCACCCAGATAGTAAACATAGTATCCAATAGGTAGTTTTTCAGCCCTTGTGTCCCTCCCTCTCTTCCCCTTCTGGTAGTTTCCTGTATCGATCGTGCCCATTTTTATGCCCACGTGTACCCAATGCTTAACTCCCACTTATAAGTGAGAACATGTGGTACTCGGTTTTCTGTTTTTGAGTAAATTTGCTTAGGATAATGACCTCTAGCTGCATCCTGTTGCTCCAAAGGACATGATTTTGTCCTTTTTCATGGCTATCTAGGATTCCATGGTGTACATGTAACACATTTTGTTTACTCCATCCACTATTGATAGACACCTATGTACAGTCTTTATTCACTATTTAAAATAGATTTATGGGATTCATCAACTGTGCATAAGAGCATTTGGGTAGGTGAGGAGGCATTAATGAAAGATGGTCCAGACACAATTCCAATATTTAGAAATTGGTATCTGGTTGGGGAGAGAATAAATACTTTAAATGATTAAGACAACACCTAATTCAGTGACAGAATAAGTGATATGCCTGAAAAATCTAAGAGTTCTGAGAAATAGGAGGTTTGAGGGCTGAAATGATGAGCATTTTCCATCTTCTCTCCACTCTGTTTAACATTTCCTTACCCCATGGGTATCTCACTGAAGGACTCCTGTGACCTGAACCTGCCTTTTCTGTCTCTTTTTCACTTTATTGCTCTCTGTAAGTTAGTGTGTCTGCTATGTTCCCATTGCCTCCAACATTAAACTCTCATAAAAGTTTTATTTTCTTTTACTTTGTGAATTCAATAAATCTACTAGTTACTTTGCCACAGTGATCCGGGCTTATGGCTTTACACGGGTAATAATCATTCATATATTAAGTGGCTGCCCTTATACTCAGCAAATCTGTTCCTTCAAAGTGAACTTTTGCAGCTATTGATTTCTTTCCCTAGTTCTTGTACCTTTTACCAAAAAGTTGGATTTCCCAAGAGCAACACCATTGGGAAAACATTTTAGTAATTGATTGCGATATATTTTGAAGGCTATGTGATCTTAGTTCTGTGGGATTCCAAAAATGTTAATTATAGAGTCCTCTCTATTGTAATTTCTGAAGTATCTTCTCTAAACTACCTCCACTGAATCTGAATTCACATTGTCTTATAGTAGAAGAAGATATTATTCAAATGTTTAGGAAATTTCTCAGGAAACGATAATTTAACCATCTGTATTTGCCTTGTATATCTGTGGGACAATAGACACATTGATTTAGTATTTTTCACTGTTTTTTGTATAGAAGACATTTTTCTTTTATGTTCTTGAGTAAATCATCTCAGAAAAGATGTAATATTTTTATGTTACAGGTAGCATCACCATAAGAATGGCTCACTGATTAGTTTTGACTTAAATACATGTTTACCTTAGCTATGCTAAGATTAAGTGTACAATTTTAATCTTCAATATCTGTAGGCTTCCAGGTTTCTGGACAGAATTCAAGAGAGTATCATTTTGTACTGGTCACTGACAGTCCAAAGACTGTCGTTAACTCTGATGTTTTTCAAATGACATATTGTGTTCACCTGAATGTTTGACCCAACAAGGAAAATGAATATTTATTCCATACATCCTTAAAGAAGGGAATTTTTCTTTTGCTTTTCATAATGTAAATTACATGATGATTGCATAAAGTTTTCATTGAGATTAGTTTATAACAATTTTTTTCTATAAATTTAATTAATAAAAATATCTAAATCTTAAAGTCAAACAATTAATTTTAAATACAGCCATTGACTTTTCAGGACTTTTAAAACCTCATAAAGATTAAAAACTGCACTTATATATATAACAGTGCTAAGATAGGTCTTAGGTAATTGTAATTTTCTCTTTATAGGAGATTTGAAGAATAATCTTCCTATGTTGGATAACGCTTTATGCAAACAGTGTCCAGAGAAAAGATATAATCCTCATTAAAAGTGGTTGTGCTTGCTTAGCCTCTATGTTTAATAGAAAATCAAGACTTGCTAGTGCAAAGATAGTGTCTGTTGATTCAGAAGATTATAGCAGTGATTTTCCAGAAGCTAATGAAAGGTACTAAAATGAATTGATAATCTAACTGGTGCATTTTAAAACGCTTAAAGAGAACTTAATATATAATGTCTTCATGAATTGCTTCTAGTTCTGTTTTAATAATAAACTCGTAACTCAGATATGCATACAAACAGGAATCAATTGGGACAGCAATGAGCATAAACATTTATAATCACTTGCTTTTATAGGAACTAAACCTATGACAGTTATATCGATGATTAGAGTACCTACACATGAAGACAGGTAGAAAGTAGAACATACATCCAAAGTAACATACTGTCAAAAATATCCAAGCAATGATTGCATATTTGAACAATGTATATTAAAAGATTATAAAATTATGTGAGCAGTATGTATTTTTAGCATTTTATATGCACAACTATCTTCTGTTTGGTCAAATTACGTGTCTTTTATACACGCTAAAAACTGAAAACAACATGGACAATGCAAAAGAATAAGTTTATGTTTCTAAATAAAAACCTGTACTTGTTAATCATTTTGTTTTTTATAACATCTCCACAACATAGGAATCAAGTCATGAAAGCAGACAAAGTGATACTATATTCTGAAGTTATTATGCTGTTGGCCTGACTGACATCTGTAGACATAAACTCTCTACCTGTTTGAAAGTATTACAGATATTAATTTTTAACAATATTTGCCCTAACTTGCATTTTTCTCTTTGTTTTTAGTATCTGACATTTTATATGTCTCAGATTAAATATTATTTTGTGGTGGTAAAATGTAAACATTATTTTTATGAATTCATTCTCATATATATACAATCACTTAAATATGTATTGAATACCAGGAAATAAGCTATATTTAACAAGTGAACACATTAATTTCCCAGGATATGTTTATTGAACCTTATGAGACTATTAATTCTGATTTATGTGCTCCTTATGTTTGATACACAGAAATAGGCAACCCTTTGGAGAACAAAAAATTAGAAGAAAATAGATGCTATAATTCATATTTCAAGTAGTACTGTCCCCAGTAATACAGAGCTAGTGAAAATAGCGCAGGATGCTTGATACTGGAGTGTACTTTAAACAATAAATTATTGGAGGGCATAGAAACCTCATCAAGACAGCAAGTCTGCAAAGACTCCATGTGGGCAACCTGGCCTTGCTCTCCTGTGCTGCTGGTCAACTTCCTACAGCTCAGCTGGCATTGCTCACCAGACAAGTACATGATAGGCATATCACTTGTTGTACATTATCTTTCAACTTTTTATCTTTTAATAATTTTCTGGCTCATTGTTACATTTCCTGTGAGAAAAATGGAGTTATTTGAAAGTTTAGTTTCAGTGGTTTTTCTTGTGGCTATAATTAGGGTGCAGTCCACTTCCCATTGATCTGTGCACAGAATACAAAATACATAAGAGAAGAGGTGATAATGTGAAGTGAGAAGTTAAGGGGAAAATGGCCATGCGGCTTCTATTATAGAAATGAGGGCTTAAACACATACAATGACATAGCCTATATATAATTGAGAGTTATCTATGTGCATGAGAAGCAATGTGTATGTATGCATATATATTAGCGGTGGGAACTGTACACAGGCTAATGTTTAGCACAAAAAATGATAAAATAATTATTTTTATTAATTAAATGCATCAAAGCCTAATTAAGGAATGACTCATGTGCAGATGATTATGAATAAATTGCCAAATAGAACCTGTCCAAATGCAGAAAAAATTGATTTTAAAATAATTCATATAATTATTTTATTGAGATAATCAAAAATATCTAATTTGAAAGCAAAATGAAGATATTTGAAATAATTTGGTTAACTTATCACATATAATTATTTTATTGAGGTAATAGCAAGTATTTAATTTGGAAGCAAAATGAAGACATTTGAAACTAGTTTGGTTAACTTATCACAGCTATGGTATAATTTGAGTCAGAAAACTGACATCAACTAAGTAACAATAGTATATCAAACCATTGAGTATATACTATGTGCTAAATAAAACATGTATGTTATGTCATTAAATTCTATCAGTAACACTGCATGGTAGATACTTGCATTTCCGTTTGATACAAGAGAAAACACAACTTACCCACATCACAGTAGAGTGCCACAGCCAAAATTTGCAGCTGTATCTCTGACATCGTGACATTTATTTTAAAAAGAGAAAATGAAATTAGTTATTTATTTAACTTAATAGAGTGGTTGAAAGCATGGGCTCTAAAGAAAACCAGATGGTTTTAAATTCTGACAGGCACTCATATACTAGCTGTGTAGTCTTGGTTACTTACCTTATTGGAGCCTGGATTATCTAATTTATAACATGGAGATAACAATACACAGAGTAAGCACTCAGTGTTGTTATTATTAAGATATACATGTTGCCTTAATTGACTGAAATATCTATGACAAGTGTAATTCTGTTGATATTTATCTGGATATTTTAAGGTATGTTTTATTTGTCTTCCAATCAGGAACATGGTAACCATAACCTGCCCAACCCCAAACTAATAACTGAGGCTATAAAAAGTAAGAGTCACTTACCATTTCATTCTATGCAGTTTCCTGCCTTGAAATAGGTGTCTTATGGCTTTGGTTGGCAATACTGTTAATGGAATATAGTTGTATTAAAAGCAATTTTTTTTTGACAATTCTTTGTTAGCAGTCAGCAACTAAATATATTAAGAAGCCTTGTTTTGCACACTCTTCCAACCACAGAACACTAAAGATGTATATGTTATAATTACAATTATCCTTTCTCTTCATTGTCCTGCTGAGGAATGCACTGTAATTCTGGCAGCTAGAGTAGAGTTGGCTTGCTTTCCTTGGATTGCAGATGTCTAATTGCAGGCAACCATTTCATTTAAAATGGCTCATTAAAGTAAAAACCATTTAGCATCAGTAACATGGATCAGCATCCATGATTATGCATTTAATTAGAGAGAAGTATGTTTTCTCCTCTTTTCTAATTTTTCTATCTATAGATCTACCTATGTATCAATCTATGCATCTACCCACACACATACACATAGATGCACACATGCAGATTTATACAAAGCTTGCCTTAGACATTAATTTTATCATTTTGCCATCATTGCAACTCCTTGGCTAATTGTTCCATGGAGTATGTATAGAACGTACTAATTATGAAATTATAGAATATATTGTTACTCAATATTAGTAAATTGCATATTGCACATATAGGAATTTTCTGTTTTGTAGGCTTTTCTAGATATGTTATATTTTACCTTAGTAAATGTCCTTATTTACTAACTGAAATATTACTTGTTTATTATCATTCCAAAGAAGCGTCATATCCTGAACGCTTTAGTTTACTGATCACTGAAATAAGACCGTGGTGTGGGAAGAGAGAGAGAGAGAGAGAATTCCAATTTTTCTCATTCTCATGCATAAAAGATCAATCATAGAAGCATAGTTTTGATGTGATGATATGTCCTGTTATTTGTATTGTGAAAATAGATTTGTCTAACAATATTTGTTCGGAAATAGAACATTTGGACTTTTTAAGCATTACTTTTAACAATATTTTTAAAAATAGTCAAAAACCACAGGCATTATCTATATCATAATTCTACTAAACAGCAGTGATGAGTGGCAATTAGTTGTTTATTGAGTCACTGTTTACATAATTATTTGTAAGTTATTTGTAAATGGCCTTAGGTTTTTTAGATCTATAAATTTCAGTGAATAAAATATAATTTAAAGGCTTTCATAATATTAAATAAGAATGAACCAGGCTGTCTTTTATTAGCTTATTTTTCATTTCATTAGAGAAAAACACAGTTTACTTTGGCAGAATCTAGATATGTTGATGTACTTTATCATGTCCAAATTCGAGGCAGTAAATAATTTTCTGTAGAGAGCCCCTAGTCCTTAAAGAGTAGACTAAATCAACAAAGGATCCAGAAGTAAAAGTCAGAAGCTAAAGTATATTTGTGCATTTCTGTGTCAGTAAGAAAGAAGTTAAGACTGAGATATAAATTAAGAATACATTATATAAAACCTGCTCCAGTCCTGTCCTGTAAGACAGCCAGGGGATAGCCTCAAGAGTTCAAGGTTAATGGGTCTCTATGGGAAGTATTTACTTTCTCACTGGATTTTTAAATTACATTCCCTTTTTTCCCCACCAGTACTACTGAAGTAAAAAGAGAAACAAATGAACAAAAACAGTGCTGGCAGGTATGCTATTTATTGCCCAATGGAAAAGTTATAAAATCATTGTTATTACTGCTGTATAATAATTGATACATACTGCTTGATATGTGCCATTGTTTTATGCTGGTCACCTTTCACCCTTTTTTGTTTTTTTTTGTCACATTCTTGATATAGATCATAAGCAAGAAAAGAGACAAGTGAAAGTGGAAGGGGAGGAAATAGAGAAAAGATAAAGAGATAATAGAGAAAAGAAAGAGAGAGGAACTTCAAGAAGAGAGAAACATACTTCACAGCTGGGCAAGATTCAGATTTTTTTTTAAAAATGAGAGGATCAACCATGATTTGAGAGAATAAGGATACAAAGTTAGTGTTTAAAAAGAGTGAAGAGAGAGGGGAAAGAGTTGTTTTGAGTTTGAAGTGTTAGTAAACTATGCTTCTCACACACTGCGATTTACTTGAATGTTAGTCGTCAAAGTGATATCAAATCTTATCACTGCATTGAAATGCAAAATAGATGATTGATTACTATTCATAGTTCTTCAACTTTCTTTCTAAGCAAATTTTCAAGTACTTCTATGCAGTTGCAGTCCAAGTAGCTAAGTCTTAGAAATTATCTGAGCAGTGAAGAAAGTATTACTCATCTTTAGGAAGGAATACATTTAAACTGAAAGTGAAATTGTGTCTCTTTGATCAATGGACAATTCCACCCTAACCCAGTTGCTAAAGAAACTGTTTTGATGCCTTTATTTTTCATGCCTGCCCTCAGTTACTCTATTGTTTTTATGCTGAGTGCTACAAAGGGAACGACCATCAAAATCTCTTTGTACTAAGAACTTTAGGAAGGAGTGAAAATAATGTATAAACAAAGCTTCTGCCCTAGTTCATTATAATTGGGAAAATAAGGTAAATGCGATTATACAATTTCAAAGACTATATAATGAAATAGAGTGTAAGTTTTAGAATAAAAACCTGGAGAATCAAATGACAAAAACATTTGCACATAGGGTTTCTTTTAGGGAGTTTGGAGGCAAATAACCTATACCATACCTATTATATAAGGCACAGAATAGATAATAGTGTTTAAATAAAAAGCTATAAATTGTTACTCTTATACAGATATAAAAATGAACACATTTTAAATGTTTTATTTAACTCACATGGGAACCAGGAAAATGTTGTAATCTATTCAAAAAAGAATCTAAGGAACAGACACATGTATAGACTAGGAATATGCAAATGGCATCAAAATATTTTCCACAAAAAAGAGTATGAAAGTCACTTAAAACCTCTAACAGACAAGACAGAATTCATAGGTATGTCAGTTACCTACAATTTACAGAATCTTAAACTGTATCCCATAGAACCATAATCTTGGCCTGCCAAGACCAAGAGTGCTATAAATAATACATAGTTTTCCTAGGAATTACAAATCTTTTCTCAAAAATAGTAAGGGCAAAAACCTAGAGAACCATAATAACACTCATTTCATCATTTTCAAATGAGTAGTGAACAGCGTATCTTGAACATTACAAAAGATAGAAATCCTAAACACAAAAATTATTATATAATACATTTGTCAGTTCTTTGTGTTTATATGCACACACACACACACCTTTTTTTTCCTAGTGTGATAATTGCTTTATATTTTGGTTATTCCTTTTACATCAAACTTAATATTTCACATAATCTAATCAATTGATCTAGTCCTTTGGGATGATGTCTTGTCTTTGTTCTACAGATGAGACAATCAACTTCCTATTTGGATTTTAAAGAAATACGTAAGGGTTTGATTAATGATAGAGTTCCTGGGTAGAGGAAATGATATTTTTAAAAAATTAATTAGATTATATTTTTAGGAAACATTACTTTATTGAGATTTTTACATTAAGTGATAACAATCATATTTTTTTTAGTTTTCAAAAGAGAAAAGACTTGGTTGTTTTCTACTACTATTTTAAGGGTTAGTTTTTTCATCAAAGCAATATATATCTTTATTTCATGGTTCATTTTTATAAAACTCGATTACAAATAATGCGCTGTGGAATTTTTCCCAAGGCAAAAGATCAAATATAGAGAACTGGCCAAATATTTATACTTTGCCTCTGTGTTTTCATTAATGGAATTTTTATTAGAACTTAATATTTGTTTATTTTTGCATTTTGGAAAGAAGCGTGTCTAAATCCAAACCTTTCTCTTACATTACCCTTTTAAAAAGCCAAGTAAATCTGAGCATTCACTTTCCTGCTCAAAACCTTGCAATCATCTCCTTTACTGAAGTCCACCAGCCTCTGCTTGATCTGCCCTATGCAGACTCATCCTCCCTATCTCCTCACCCCACTCCTTGCTTTCTTCTTGGCTTGCAAACAGCTGCCTCTTGCTGGGTTCTCCCATACTGGAGAGAAAGAGAGAGCAAGGTCTCTAGAATTGCCTCTTATGAGGATAATAATCCTATCATGAGAGTCCCACTCTCAGGATCATATATAATAAATCAAATGACTTTCCAAAGTCCCTAACTCTACATACTACCACATTGGGAAATTAAGGCTTCAACATATGAATTTTGAGAAGACTCAAGTCAGTCAATAGCATTCTGCCCCTGACACCCCAAAATTCATGTCCTCACATACAAAATACGTTCATTTCACCCAAATACCCAAAGTATTAACTTGTTCCAGCAGCAACTCTAAAGTTCAGAGTCTCATCTAAATACTATCTAAATCAGATATGGGTGAGACTCAAAGTATTACTCTTTCCTGAGAAAAATTTCCTTTTTATATGAACCTGTGAAGTCAGACAAATTATATGCTTTCAGAATACAATGGTGGAACAGGTATAGGATAAACATCCCCATTCCAAATAGAAAAATAGAAAAGAATAAAGGGGTGGGAGTCCCAAACAAGCCCAAATCCTAACAAGGCAAATTTAGGCCTCCTTCATTCTGTCTTTTTTACTATGTTCCTTTTAGTTCAAAACTGGCAGTGTTGCTGGCATAATCCTGTCTTTATTCCTGGACTCTGCTGGAATGGCTGATTAACTTCATCACAGTCATTCATGATTTCTTTATTAAAGTTTTAGCCACATCTTTAATGTTCTCTTCAGAACAAGCTTTCTCTCTCTCTCTGGTAATATGAATAGGCTGAGAATTTTCCAAATCTTCAAGGTCTGGTTCTTTTTTGCTTGACAAATTCCTGATTTAATTCCTCTTTCTTTTTTTTTTTTTTTTTTTTTTTTGTATTTTATTATAAGCAGTCAGGAGGAATCAAATTAGCTGCTTCTTCAATACTTTGCTTAGAAATCTCCTCAGCTAATTATCTAGTTTCATTGTTCGTAGTCCTTCCTTCCACAAGACACTAAAACATAGTTCAGCCAAATCCCTTGCTAATTTGTAACAAGAATCACATTTCCTCCAGTTTCTGATATGTCCTCATTTCCATCTGACACATCACCAGAATTGCCCTTAACACTCATATTTTTATGTTTCTTTAAAATTTGTTTTAACTTCCTATTATCACCACTTAATTAATGCCCATATTTTTAGTATGCACTTCAAATTCCTACAGCCTCCACCCACTACTGAGTTCCAAAGCTGCTTCCACATATGCAGGTATTTGTTACAGCAGCACCACACTCTTGTTACCAAAATCTGTATTAGTCAAAGTTCCCCAAAGAAACAGTACCAACAGATAATATAGTACAAGAAACTGACTCAAGCAATTATGGAGACTAAGAAGTTCCAAGATCTGAAGTTGGTATGCTGGAGACCCAGAAGAGTTAATGTTATAGTTCCAGTCTAAAAGCCAGCAGACTCAAAACCTAAAAAGAGACAATATTGTAGCTTGAGTCAGAAAGCAGGAAAACATTAATGTCTAACCTCAGGGCAGTCAGGCAGGAGAAGTTCTCTGTTCAGCACATGAGGGTCAGCCCTTTTTCTCTATCCAGGCCTTCAAATGATTGGATAAGGCCCACCTATAATACATTAGGGAGGACAATTACTCAGTCCACTAATTCAAGTGTTAATCTCATATAAAGACATACCCACAGACACACCAAGAATCATGTTTGTCAAAGTATTTGGGTACCCATGACCCTGTCAAGTTGACACATATAATTAACCATCACAGGGAGCCTAGAGGTAAAGACCTTGGGTGGGGGGAATTATAGAAAGAGGCTGGAGCAGATCCTACAGGGCCCTGAAGGACACATTAAAGAATTGGGAACTTGTCCTAAGGAAAATGACAACCCATTGGTGATTTTTAAGGAGGTAAATAAGGTAATCTGATTACTATTATTATTTTTTAAAAGGACATGAGGAAGTTTGGGTTGTTGAGAGGAAAGGCAGAGAGAAAGGTGGTACTGTAGTTAGAAATTGTGGTTTGATCTCAACTTGTCTTCATGGAGAAGAAAGTGGAGTTCCAGCTTGATCCAGCTTGTCTTCATTGAGAATGGGAGAGTTTTGAAATATAGTGAGAGATTGATTTGATATGAGGAGAGAATAAAAGGGAGGGATCAATAATGGTGGCCAGTGGCTAGATTTAGCAAATATATTTGTAGTGTGTGATTTACCACAAATGAAGAAAGAAGGAAGTTTTATAGGAAGAGGATGACTTTAGTTTTAGGTTTATGAAGTTTAAGTGGTGCAGGTCTGAGGTCCAGAGGTGTAGTCTGGGATAGACTTACATGTTGTAACAGGCCAAGATTTCCTAGGTAGAGAATGTAAAAAATGTAGCGATAAAGGATCTGATGAAAAGGCACCCAGTATTTGATGGATAGAGGAAGGGAAGCCCTGGAGGTACCATCAACTTTTTTTTGGCTCCTATTGTATTCAATATGTTGACATTTATACAATATCTCAGAAATAACAGGGTTTAGAAAACATACTGTATTAGTCCGCTTTCAGGCTGCTGATAAAGGCATATCCAAAAGTGGGCAATTTACAAAAGAAAGAAGTGTAATGGACTTACAGCTCTGCATGGCTGGAGAGGCCTCACAATCATGGCAGAAGGCAAGGAGGAGCAAGTCACATCTTAGGTGGATGGCAGCAGGCAGAGAGAGAGAGCTTGTGTAGGGAAACTTCCATTTTTAAAAACATCAGACCTCGTGAGACTTATTCACTATCATGAAAACAATATGTGAAAGACCCATCCCTATTATTCAGTTATCTCCCACCAGATTCCTCCTATAACACATGGGAATTATGAGAGCTATAAGATGAGATTTGAGTGAGGACACAGAGCCAAACCATATCATTCCTCCCCAGGCCCCTCCTAAATCTCATGCCCTCACATTTCAAAACCAATCATGCCTTCCCAACAGTCCCTCAAAGTCTTAACTCATTTCAGCACTAACTCAAAAGTTCACAATCGAAAGTCTCATCTGAGATAAGGCAAGTTCTTTAGGCCTATGAGCCTGTAACATCAAAAGCAAGTTTGTTACTTCATAGATAAAATGGTGGTACAGGCATTGGGTAAATACAGTCATTCCAAAAGGGAGAAATCGGCCCAAAACAAAGGGGCTACAGGCCCCATGCAAGTCCAAAATCTGGTGGGGCAGTCAAAGCTCCAAAATGATCTTTTTTTACTCCATGTCTCACATCCAGGTCATGTTGATGTAAGATGTGGGTTCCCATGGTCTTAGGTAGCTCTGCCCCTGTGGCTTTGCAGAGTACAGCCTCCCTCATGACTGCTTTCATGGGCTGGTGTTGAATGTCTGCAGCTTTTCTAAGTGCACAGTACAAACTGTCAGTGGATCTATCATTCTGGGGTCTGGAGGATGGTGGCCCTTTTCTCACAGCTCCACTAGGCAGTGCCCCAGTAGGGGCTCTGTGTGGATGTTCCGACCCAACATCTCCCTTTCACACTGCCCTAGCAGAGTTTCTCCACGAGGGCCCCATCCCTGCAGCAAACTTCTGCTTGGGCATCCAGGTGTTTCCATACATCTTCTGAAATCTAGGCAGAGGTTCCCAAACCGCATTTCCTGACTTCTGTGCACTCACAGGCTTAACACCACATGGAAGCTGCCAAGGCTTGGGGCTTGCACCCTCTGAAGCCACAGCCTGAGCTCTACATTGGCCCCTTTCAGCCGTGGCTAGAGCAGCTGGGATGCAGGGCACAATGTCCCTAGACTACACACAGCATGGGGACCCTGGGCCCGGCCCACAAAACCAGTTTTTCTTCCTAGGCCTCTGGGCCTGTGATGGGAGGGACTGCTGCAAAGACCTCTGACATGCCCTGGAAACATTTTCCCCATTGTCTTGGGGATTAATATTCAGCTCCTTGTTACTTATTCAAATTTCTGTAGTCAGCTTGAATTTATGCTCAGAATATGGAATTTTCTTTTCTATTGCATTGTCAGACTGGCTGCAAATTTTTCAGACTTTTATGCTCTGCTTCCCTTATTAACAGCACCCCAGTCACCTCTTGAATGCTTTGCTGCTTAGAAATGTCTTCCACCAGATACCCTAAATCATCTCTCTCAAGTTCAAAGTTCCACATATCTTTAGGTCAGGGGCAAAATGCCACCAGTCTCTTTGCTAAAAGAATCACCTTTTCTCCAGTTCCCAACAAGTTCCTTATCTCCACCCGAGACCACCTCAGCCTTGATTTCATTGTCCATATCATTATCAGGATTTTGGTTAAAGCCATTCAACAAGTCTCTAGGGAGTTCCAAACTTTCCCACATTTTCCTGTCTTCTTCTGAGCCCTCCAATCTGTTCCACCCTCTGTCTGTTACCAAGTTCCAAAGTTGCTTCCACATTTTCAGTATTTTTTCAGCAGCACCCCACTCTACTAGTTCCAATTTACAGTATTAGTTTGTTTTCATGTTGCTGATAAAGACATACCTAAGGCTGGTCAATTTACAAAAGAAAGAAGTGTAATGGACTTATAGTTCCACATGGCTGGGGAGCCTCACAATCATGGCAGAAGGCAAGGAGGAGCAAATCATATCTTATGTGGAT